>NT_167245.2:4221379-4348541 GCF_000001405.40 Homo sapiens | reverse complement strand
GGCCATCTTGGCCATGTTTAATTTTCCTTGGCCCTGGCATCACTCTTGCATCCAAGTGTTTGTCATTTTATTTTGTGTCCCTTAGTTGTTCTCATATCTTCCAGTATTCTCTGTCAGTTGGACTGCTTCCTGTCTACTCTGCTACATCTTCTGCCTGCCTTGCAGTTATGGCTGCCTTTTCTACCCTGCTGCTGCATCCCACACCTCCTGCTCTTGGCACCCGTGAGCTTCTGCTGCCTTTCCTTTATGCTGCTGTCTGGGTCTTTGGGGTTGATGTGGGATCTGGGAGAATTTTGAAACGGATCATTGCTGTCAGGATGAAGGTGGAGAGGGGCATTCTGAAGATCTTTGTTTTGGGGAGTTGGGGTGGTGGTGAATGTTTCACCTTCTCCCCACCCTTATCTTGGCTATGGCCTGGATTTGGGAACAGGCATCTGAATGGAGGTGTGCAAGGGAGGGAACTGGTTGGCTTGGAGTGTACATGAGGGCCAGAAGAAGGGCAAAGCATCCTGCTGGGAGAGGAACTGTGGGGTGCATTGTAGGGGGCTGCTCTGGGGCTTGGATAACTGAGCCCAAGAACTGTATGTTTTGCAAAAGGCAGTTATGAGGCCTGAGTTTGGAATATCTCTGGGAAATGCTCTCCAAATTTACTTGGAGTATGGATACTTAACCTGTGCAGGGTTTTTACATTTTTGAACTCCTTCAAATTCTAAATAAAATTTTGTGCATAAGGGCATATACCTTTTCTTTTTTGGAGAAAGACTGAAAGACTCAAAGTCCTCTTTCTGAAAGAGGCTCTTCAGGATTTGGAGAGGTTGTGTTTGCTGAGGTGGGACTGAGAACTGGGGTGCAGGGAACCCTGAGATCTCCTTGGCAGGCATGAGAGTTTTGTGAACAGAAGTATTTAGAGGAAGCCTGTGGGGCTTGTGGGTAGGGCTGGTCTGGTCTCCAGAGGACCCAAAATCGAGGTTGGAGTTGAGATGGGGGCAGGCCTGGTGTCCTGGCTGCTCATGGGCCCCACTGGGGTTACATGTGTGTCTCCCTTAGGCTGCCCATGGGCCCCGGGGGCTGAAGGGAGAGAAGAGAGAGCCTGCAGTGCTGGAACCTGTAAGTCATGCTGGTCACAGGGCTGAGGTGGTGGAAAGAGGAGAAGCAAGTGGGGTTTAGTGTGCTGGCCCTGTCACCTGTGAGTTTTAACCTTTGACTCCACAGGGTATGCTCGTGGAGGGGCCCCCTGGTTTAGAAGGCCCTGTGGTGAGTCTAGCAGTGACCTGGTGGCCATTGTTTTCTTAGAGATCCCTCCTATGTGTTCATCTGTGCCTTCCCCACATATGCTCAGGCCTCCTCCTCAGAACTCCGGAGGGTCCTTCCAATAAAAGTTTTTTAAAAAATCATTTTGAAAAATTAATTCAATAGTTTTTGGGGAGCAGGTGGTGTTTGGTTATATGGATAAGTTCTTTAGTGGTGATTTCTGAGGTTTTGGTGCACCCATCACCTGAGGAATGTACACTGTATCCAGTGTGTAGTCTTTTATCCCTTACCCAGCTCCTACTCATACCTGGAAGTCCTCAAAGTCCATTATATAATTCTTATGCCTTTGTGTCTTCATAGCTTAGCTCCCACTTATAAGTGAGAACATACAATATTTGGTTTTCCATTCTTGAGTTACTTCCCTTAAAATAATGGTTTCTAATTCCCCCTAGGTTGCTGCAAATGTTATTTCATTCTTTCTTATGGCTGAGTAGTATTCTAAGGTATATAGATCACATATATATCATATGTGATCTATATATAGATCATATATATATATATGTGATCTATATATATATAGATCACATATATATATATCACATATATATATATCACATTTTCTTCATTCACCCATTAACTGATGGGCATTTGGGGTGGTTCCATATTTTTGCAATTGTGAATCATGGTGCTGTAAACATGTGTGTGCAAGTGTCTTTTTCATACAATGGCTTTTTTCCTCCAGTAGTGGGATTGCTGGATCAAATGGTAGATCTATTTCTAGTTCTTTAAGGCATCGCTGTACTGTTTTCCATAGGTTGTACTAGTTTAATTTCCCACCAGTAGCATAGAAGTGTTCTCTTTTCATCACACCTACCCCAACGTCTATTTTTTTTTTTATTTTTAAATTATGACCATTGTTACAGGAGTAAGTTGGTATCACATAGTGGTTTTGATTTGCATTTCCCTGATAATTAGTGATGTAGAGCATTTTTTCATATGTTTGTCAACCATTTGTATATTTTCTTTTGAGAATTGTCTGTTCCTCTGCTTAGCCCACTTTTTGATGGGAGTATTTGTTTATTTCTTGCTGATTTGTTTGAGTTTTTTGTAGATTCTGGATATTAGTCCTTTTTTGTATGTATAGCTTGCGAATATTTTCTCCCACTCTGTGGGCTGTTTACTCTGATGATTATTTCTTTTCCTTTGAAGAAACTTTTTAGTTTAATTAGGTCCCATCTATTTATCTTGTTTCTTTTGCATTTGCTTTTGGGTTCTTGGTCATGAACTCTTTGCCTATGCCAATGTCTAGAAGAGTTTTTCCAATGTTCTAGAATTTTTATGGTTTCAGGTCTTAGATTTAAGTCTTTGATCTACCTTGAGTTGATTTTTGTATAAGGTGAGAGATGAGGATCCAGTTTAATTCTTCTGCATGTGGACTGCCAATTTCCCCAGTACCATCTGTTGAATACGCTGTCCTTTCCCCACTTTATGTTTTTGTTTGATCAGTTGGCTGTAAGTATTTGGTTTTATTTCTGGGACTTCTATTCTGTTCAATTTGTCTATGTGCCTGTTTTTATACCATTCCCATGCTGTTTTGGTGACTATAGCCTTGCAGTATATTTTGAAGTCAGGTAATGTGATGCTCCAGATTTATTCGTTTTGCTTAATCTTACTTTGGCTATGTGGGCTCTTTTGTAGTTCCATATGAATTTTAGGATTGTTTTTTTCTAGCTCTGTAAAGAATGATGATGGCATTTTGATGGGGATTGCATTGAATTTGTAGATTGCTTTTGGCAGTATGGTCATTTTCACAATGTTGATTCTACCCTTCCATGAGCATGGGACGTGGTTCTACTTGTTAGTGTCATCTATAATTTCTTTCGGCAGTGTTTTTAATTTTCCTCGTACAGGTGTTTAACCTCTATTGCGGGAAGTCAGGGACCCTGAATGGAGGGACCGGCTGAAGCCACAGTGGAAGAACATAAATTGTGAAGATTTCATGGACATTTATCACTTCCCCAATCAATACTCTTATAACTTCCTATGCCTGTCTTTACTTTAATCTCTTAATCCTGTCATCTTTGTAAGCTGAAGATGTATGTCACCTCAGGACCCTGTGATGATTGCGTTAACTGCATAAATTGTTTGTAAAGCATGTGTGTTTGAACAATATGAAAACTGGGCACCTTGAAAAGAACAGGATAACAGCAATTTTCAGGGAACAAGGGAGATAACCATAAGGTCTGACTGCCTGCAGGGCCAGGCAGAACAGAGTCATATTTCTCTTCTTGCAAAAGCAAATAGGAGAAATATCGCTGAATTCTTTTGTCAGCAAGGAATAGCCCTGGGAAAAGAATGCATTCCCGGGGGAGGTCTCTAAAATGGCCACTCTGGGAGTGTCTGAATTACATGGTTGAAGATAAGGGATGAAATATGCCCTGGTCTCCTGCAGTGCCCTCAGGCTTGCTAGGATTAGGAAATTCCAGCCTGGCAAATTCTAGTCATACTGGTTCTCTGCTCTCGAACCCTGTTTCCTGTTAAGATGTTTATCAATGACAATGTGTGCCCAGCGGGATGTGGAACCTCATCAGTGATTCTAGTTTTGCCCTCTGCCTTGTGATCTTTTACTGCCCTCTGAAGCATGTGATCCCTGTGACCCATTCCCTATTCATAGACCCCCACCCCTTTTGAAATCCATAATAAAAACTTGCTGGTTTTGCGGCTCAGGTGGGCATCATGGAACCTGCTGACATGTGATATCACCCCCGGAGACCCAGCTGTAAATTTCTCTCTTTTGTACTCTTTCTCTTTATTTCTCAGACTGGCCCACACTTAGGGAAAATAGAAAAGAACATACTTTGAAATATTGGGGGCTGGTTCCCCCAGTAAACCTCCTTGGTTAGGTATATTCCTAAGTATTTTATTTTTTTGCAGCTACTATAAAAGGGGTTGAGTTCTTGATTTAATTCTCAGCTTGGTCACTGTTAGTATATGGCAGTGCTACAGATTTGTGTACATTGATTTTGTATCCTGAAACTTTACTGAATTCATTTATCAGATCTAGGAGCTTTTTGGATAAGTATTTATGGTTTTCTAGGTATACAGTCATATCATTGGTGAACAGTGACAGTTTGACTTCCTATTTACTGATTTGTCTGATTGCTCTGGCTAGGATTTCCAGTACTATGTTGAATAGAAGTGGTGAGAGTGGGCATCCTTATCTTGTTCCAGTTCTCAGGGGGTATGCTTTGAACTTTTCCCCGTTCAGTATAAGGTCGGCTGTGGGTTTGTCATAGATGGTTTTTATTACCTTAAGTTATGATCTTTGTATGTCAAGTTTGCTGAGGGTTTTAATAAAAAAGCGATGATGGATTTTGTCAAATGCTTTTTCTGCATCTATTGAGATCATATGATTTTTGTTTTCAAATCTGTTTATGTGATCTATCACATTTATTGACTTGTGTGTATTAAATCATCCTTGCATCCCTGGCATGAAACCCAATTTATCACCATGTATGATCTTTTTGATATGCTGTTGGATTATGTTAGCTTGTATTTTGTTGAGGATTTTTGCATCTATTTTCATCAGAGATATTGGTCTGTAGTTTTCTTTTTTATTATGTCCTTTCCTGGTTTTGGTATTAGGGCGATCCTGGCTTCATAGAATAATTTAGGGAGGATTCTCTCCTTCTCTGTTTTGGAATAGTTTCAGTAGGATTGGTACCAATTCTCTTCTTTGAATGTCTGATTGAATTCAGCTGTGAGTCCATGTGAATCTGTGATTTTTTATCGTTGGCAGTTTTTTAAAAATTACCATTTCAATCTTTCTGCTTTTTATTGGTCTGTTCACAGTTTCTATTTCTTCCTGATTTATTCTAGGAGGGTTGTATATTTCCAGGAATCTGTCTTCTCTAGGTTTTCTAGTTTGTGCCTGTGAATGTGTTCATATTAGCCTTGAATGATATTTTATATTTCTGTAATATCAGTGGCATTTTCTTCCATTTTGTTTCTAATTGAGGTTATTTGGATCCTCTCTTTTCTTGGTTAATCTCACTAATGGTCTATCAATTTTATGTATCGTTTCAAAGAATCAGCTTCATGTTTCATTTATCTTTTGTATTTTTTTGTTTCAATTTCATTTACTTCTGCTCTCTTTGTTATTTCTTTTCTTCTGCTGGGTTTGGGTTTGGTTTGTTCTTGTTTCTCTAGTTCCTTGAGGTGTGACTTTACATTTTGTATTTGTGCTCTTTCAGACTTTTTGATATAGGCATTTAATGCTATGAACTTTCCTCTTAGGACTGTTTTTACTGTGTCCGAGTGGTTTTCACAAGTTGTGTCACTATTATCATTCAGTTCAGAGAATTTTGCATCTTGATTTCACTGTTGACCCAAAGATCATTCAGGAGCAAATTATTTAATTTCCATGTATTTGTATAGTTTTGAAGGTTTCTTTTGGAGTTAATTTCCAATTTTATTCCACTGTGGTCTGAGAGGGGACTTGATATAATTTTGATTACCTTAAATTTGTTGAGGCTTGTTTTGTGGCCTATTATGTGGTCTATCTTGGAGGATGTTTCATGTGCTGATGAGAAGAATGTATATTCTACAGTTGTTGAGTAGAATGTTCTGTAAATATCTGTTAAGTTTATTTCTTCTAGTGTAACTTAAGTCCATTGTTTCATTGTTGACTTTCTGTCTTGATGACTTTCTAGTACTGTCAGTGGAGTATTGAAGTCCCCACTATTATTGTGTTGCTGTCTATCTCATTTCTCATGTCTAGTAATAATTGTTTTATAAATTTGGAAGCTCCCATGTTAGGTGCATATATGTTTAGGATTGTGATATTTTCCTGTTGGAGTTATCCTTTTATCATTGTATAATGTCCCTCTTTGTCTTTTTTAACTGTTGTTGCTTTAAAATCTGTTTTGACTGATATAAGAATAGCTACTCTTGCTTGCTTTTGTTTTCCATTTGTATGGAATATCTTTTTCCACTCCTTTACCTTAAGTTTTTGTGAGTCCTTACACATTAGATGACTCTTGAAGACTGAAGATACTTGGTTGCTGAATTTTTATCCTTCCTGCCATTCTGTATCTTTTAAGTGGAGAGTGTTAATATTGAGATGTGAAGTACTGTTCTATTTCTCATGCTAGTTGTTGCCTGAATTCCTTATTTTTTTCCTTTGCATTACTGTTTTATAGGCCCTGTGAGATTTATGCTTTAAGGAGGTTCTATTTTGGTGTATTTTGGAGTTTTGTTTGAAGACTTAGAACTCCTTTTAGCATTTTGTGTAGTGCTGGATTGGTAGCGGTGAAGTCTCTCAGCATTTGTTTGTCTGAAAAAGACTTTATCTCTCCTTCATTTATGACGCTTAGTTTTGCTGGATACAAAATTCTTGCCTGGAAATTATTTTGTTTGAGGAGGCTAAAGATAAGACCCCAGTCTTTTCTGGCTTATAGGCTGCTGTTAATCTGATAGGTTTTCCTTTATAGGTTACCTGATGCTTTTGCCTCACAGCTCTTAAGATTCTTTCCTTTGTCCTGACTTTAGATAACCTGATGACTATGTGCCTGGGCGATAATCTTTCTGTGATAAATTTCCCAGGTGGTCTTTGAGCTTCTTGTATTTGGTTGTGTAGATCTCTAGCGAGGCCAGGGAAGTTTTCCTTGATTATTCCCTCAAATATGTTTTCCAAACTTTTAGATTTTTGTTCTTCCTCAAGAATGCCAATCATTCTTAGGTCATTTAACATAATCCCAAATTTCTTGGAGGCTTTGTTTATTTATTAAAGTTCTTTTTTCTTTGTCTTTGTCTGACTGGGTTAATTCGAAAGGCTTGTTGTTTGAGCTATGAAGTTCTTTCTTCTACTTGTTGGATCCTATTGTTGAAACTTTCCAGTGCATTTTGTATTTCTCTAAGTGTGTCTTTCATTTCCAGAAGTTGGATTGTTTCTTCTTTATGATATCTACGTCCCTGGGGCATTTTTAATCCATATCCTGTGTTTTTAAAAAATTTATTTAAGTTGTTTTTCACCTTTCTCTGGTATCTTTTTGAGTAGCTTAAAATCAACCTTCTGAATTCTCTATCTAGCAATTCAGAGATTTCTTCTTAGTTTGGATCTATTGCTGGGGTCCAGTGTGGAGGTGGTAGGGGAGTGAAGTAGACTCTGTGAGAATCCTTGGTTGTAGATAGACTTAGTGTGGTGGCTTTCTCAAATGCTGGTTATGCTAGCAGTGCAGTTGTCATGTGAACAGACCGAAGACCACTGGTTAGTCAAGATTTTTCAGCCAGTGGAATTAGCTGTTTTCTCCTTTCTTAGAGCAGTTATTCTGTCGTGAATTGTTGTAATGTCCTGAGTTGGTTGGCCTCCAGCCAGGATGTGGTGCTTTCAAGAGGGCACCAGCTACAATAGTAGAAGGTGGATATAAGCTTGCCCTAAGTTGGCCAAGATAAATATTCAGTTTCTCAGGCAATGAGTGGTGTCATAAAGCTCCCAAGAGTTTACGTCTTTTGTGATTGGCTACCAGGTGGGTAGAGAAATGCCCTCAGGTGTGGACAGGGTTAGGCAGGTCTGAGCTCAGACTCTCCTCGGGCGGGGGGCTTGCGGCAGCCACTGTGAGGGATGGGGCGGAGGGTTTTTCTCCAGCCAATGGAATTATGTTCCAGAGGGCATTATGGCTGCCTCTGTCACCAGAGAAGTAGGGGAAACCTGGTAGCAATAGGCTTCACCCAGCTCCCATGCAGTTGGCGAGGCAGGTTTTGCTCCTGCTGTGCCACACTAACAGCATTGAATTTATCTCCCTGCAGCCTTCAGGATGGACTCAGACCTCACTCCAGGCTATAAGTTTCCTGCTGAGAAAGCAAGCACAGCTTTCAGGCCATGTGCCTCCCTGTCTGCCCACAATGTTGGCAGTAACTTCTGCTCTTTCTCCAGCAGTTCCGTTCGCCCCCAGATTCTGCTCCAGAGGATTTGTGCCCAGTCAGAATTATAACAAATTTCAGTTGGACGCTCCTTTCACACTGTGACCCCTTCCAAATTTTGCCGTCTGCCTTCCCCCAGGGCCCTTGTGAGATATAGTCAGGGGTGGCTTCCCTGGGCTTGAGCTAAAGACTGGGCGTGCCTACAAGGCTCTTCTCACTGCTGCATCTACCATATATATATATTTTTTTTTTCTTTTTGTTGCGACGGAGTCTCACTCTGTCACCCAGGCTGGAGTGCAGTGGCGCGATCTCGGTTCACTGCAGGCTCCGCCTTCCGGGTTTATGCCATTCTCCTGCCTCAGCCTTCCTAGTAGCTGGCACTACAGGCGCCCGCCACCACGCCTGGCTAATTGTTTTGTATTTTTAGTAGAGACGGGGTTTCATCGTGTTAGCCAGGATGGTCTCAATCTCCTGACCTTGTAATCCGCCCGCCTCGGCCTCCCAAAGTGCCGGGATTACAGGTGTGAGCGGCAGCGCCCGGCGTACTTTTGTATTTCATGCTAAATCTGTTTCAGGTCTAGGTAAAGTTAAATCCTTTTCCTGTAATCTGGATTTTCGAGTTCCCCAGTGGGGACATGGGTCCGGAGGCAGGTTTTTCCCCTCTCACGCTTTGGGAACGCACAGTTTTTCACTTGTCTGGTGGAGTTTGCAGTGGCCCCTCCCTTCTTTAAAAGGATCTGTGAATTCTTTCGATTTTCTGGGTATTCTCCTGCAGTGGTTCCTTTCTTGAGGGATCTGTGAAGTGAGTTCCTCAAGATATTTCTTGTCAGGTGAACAGTCTGTGGTCTCTGCAGGGCCTGTACCACCCCTGGGCACTGTATGCCCCACAGAGTGGGCCTCTCCTGTGCAGGGCCTGGGAAGAGGTTGATTATAATCTGGTGTCTGAGGCCTGGCAGCACCACACTCTCTTCAGTGAGTCAGGCTCAAGTCTGAGCACATCTGCAGAGCTTATGTTTGCTGTGTTGCTCATGGAAGGCAGGGAATCCAAAATTGTTTTCTTAGAGATGGACTCTCACTATGTTTCCTAGGCTGCTTTCAAACTCCTGGCCTCAAGTGATCCTCCTGTCTCGGCCTCTCAAATCACTGAGATTACAGGTATGGGCCACTGTGCCCAGCCTATTATCGATTTTCTCCCATTTCATTCAGTCCTCAACCCAATGTACTCTCTCTTTTTCTTTCCCTCATCTCTGATGCTCCTCTCAGGGTGGCAACTAATGACTTTTATACAACTCAAGCCAGTGGTCACTGTTCTGTTTCTGTCTTATGTGTGTCATTAGTGTGTTTGAGATGCCCCCTCTCCTCTTTCCTGGAAGTTTTCTCCTGTCTCTTGTCTTTTATGAACCCACTTCCTCTCTGTTTTCCTACCAATTTCTAGTCCTCTGCTTTTCAGCCTCTTTCTTCATGTCTGTGTTTGTCTGGATGCAGGAGCACACACTCAGATCCCTGCTATCCTGACTTTGTGTACTTTTCTTGAGTGACCTGACCCAAAATTAGAACTTCACCCACCATGAGCCTCCTTCCAGTTTATGTCACTAACCTAATGTAGCATGACACTCATCCATTTATTTCACTGCCTTCAAATCAACTGTATGTTTTCCCCTAGAAGTTTAAATTCAGTATGTCTCAAACAGAAAATTTTACCTTCTCTCAATCACTTAATTATCACCTTTGCAGGCACGGATGCCACAATTCTCCACGTTGCGTGGTTATTCTCGACTTCTTCATATCCCTACTTCTGGCATGTGATTTAGTGATTCCTGTGGCCTCTCATGTCATTACTGCCATCAAATCCATCTGCTGTCCTCCTCACCCCATGTTCCTGCCCTGGCCTACGCCTTCATTACTTCCCACCAGAGGGCTTAAAAGTGCTACTGGTCTTGCCTTGAGTCCCGCCTCCTCCAGCCCATCCTTCCTACAGGTGCCCCATCCAAACACAAATCTGACCGTGTTACTCTCCTGCTTAAGATACTTCACAACTTCCTATGTCCTGTGGGATAAAATGCAAACACTTGCCATCAGCACACAAGGCAGGTTACAGTGCTGCCTGGCCCACATCTCCCCTGGCTTCAGTCACACTGAAGAACTGCAGTTCTCCTTGCAACTTCATGCCTCTCTGCTCCTGAGCCTGCTTCTCCTGCTGGAAATGCCATTTCCCCTTTCTCTGTTTTGCTATCTGCAGGTGAACACTGTCCCTAGGAACCTTTCCTAAATCGTATTTTAATTTTGCTCCTGAGTAGCTCTTGTGTATACCTTGTGATACTCAGTGGTGATCAAACCACACATGTAGCAATCATCTTTTCTTTGTCTGTTTTATTCTTGAATTTCAAGTAGATTAAGGACAAAGTTCCCATCTTTAGAGTTTCATCCTTATTACCTAGAGAGTGAAAGTTCACAAAAAGCATTTATTAACTGAATGAAAATTAACATTTGAAGTGTGGAATTTGCTTCAAAATGTGCCAACCTTTAGTTTTCAGATTTTGTAAATATAATAAATACAAAGTAACCTAAGCTGAACCAATTACATCTGTGTAGCCCAGTCTATACACCATGTATTTTTCTTTTTCCTTTGGGATTCATTTCTGTAGGTGAGTAATCCTCTAGACCCTAAACTCAGTGGGGGACCCTCACCATCCGTGTGCGGCACTGAACCTGCTGTCACACTATGCATCTAAGTAGAGGACTGGTTCTCCCCATGCTGGGCTGGGAGGGGAAATCCTCACTTAGGGACCACCAACCATGCAGTGTCATTTGGCTTCACTTCCTCTTCCAGGCCGAACCCTAAACTCTCTGTAATTCACTGTAATAATAATTCACTTTTTGTTATCAACCAGTTGCTGCTTCTTATGTATCAGGTAAAGCTAAGATACTATCCCATAGGTCTTTCAAATGCCAACAACTTGTATTTCCAGGTGAAACTACACTTGAAAACTACACTCCACAAGACAATTTTGTGAATGTTATGTGAATGATAATACTTTTAAATTTACTCTGCCTAAAATGTAAGTGTTGTGGATAAAATTATAGAAGGTATCATTTTTCTTCTAAAAGTAAGAATGTAACTTGAAGTCTATAAATGTCACTAAGACTCTGGAGGTATTTTCATGTCCTTCACGATTTTGTTCCACTCTGAAATATTTATTCCATCCTTCCACTTCCCTGCCTTGCTTTATGGCTATATCAGTAATTTTTAATGTATTGTCCTGTAGGGTTTCTGAGATCCTACAGGAATGAGGTAGGAGGACTACTCAATATTGTTTCTACCAGGAGTTGTGTGACTTGGACAAGTTACTTTACCTCTGGGGTCAGTTCCCTACTATGGAAAATAAGTTCTTCTACATGGGGGTGTGAAGATTCAATGAGTAAGTTTAGCACATAGTAAGTGCCCAATAAATATTATCTTACTGTATTCAGCATTACCATTATCATAGACGGATGTTAAGTCTTCAGGGACAAGGGAAACAACCTATATCGTCCATGGGTCATTTCTGTCTTTGTTTCTTCTCACTCCTTTTCTTTTCTTTCATTTGCATTTCTCATTTTCTGTGTTATTCCTTCATGTTCCCAATAACCTTCCTGTTACCTGTTTGCTTCCTGCATTCTGTGTAGCATCCTACGTATTCACCCATTCTCCATCTTCTCCTTCATGCAGCAGACCATGTGTCAACATATGCGGAGTTTGTGCAGACGCACAGACCCTCTGGGGAGTATATGTTTGAATTTGATGAGGAGGAGCAGTTCTACGTGAACCTGGATGAGAAGGAGATGGTCTGGCCTCTACCAGAGTTTATTCACACCTTTGACTTTGGTGCTCAGAGGGGTATTGCTGGCATCGTCATGGCAAGGAAGCACTTGAACACCCGGATCAATGGTCCAAACAGACTTGGGCCACAAATGGCACTGCCTATAGCTGCCTGTTCCTCTCAGAGGGGTATTGCTGGCATCGTCATGGCAAGGAAGCACTTGAACACCCGGATCAATGGTCCAAACAGACTTGGGCCACAAATGGCACTGCCTATAGCTGCCTGTTCCTCTAGAGTCCAGCTGGAGGGATGGGAGGGCCTCTCTGCCACACATAGAACTAGAGGCCATGATGCCCACTCATGAATGAGCCCCTTCCCTGAGAGCGAGAAATCTTGGGTCCACACAGCTGGGTTCTTAGGACAGCAGAGGAGGAGGCATTTTCTTCTTACTCAAGAGAAAGGCTGGGCTGAGGGGGCCAGGTCAGGAGCACGAGAAGCTGTGACCCTGTCCAGGAGCCCTAGGGGAGCAGGAGGATGGGCCTGGGAGAGGTGGCCCCTAATCTGGTGAATATAGGACTTGGGGTGGTGGAACCTTTAAGAATCAGCCAATGGCAGTAGGCTCCTTGGGTTCTATCCCCTTTTGGAGCCCCCACCGAGGTAAGCGTCTTTCCCAAGGAGCCTGTGGATCTGGGCCAGCCCAACACCCTCGTCTGCCATGTTGACAAGTTCTTCCCACCAGTGCTGAACATCACGTGGCTGCGCAATGGGGAGCCAGTCATTGAGGGTATTGCAGAGACCATCTTCCTGCCCAGCAAGAAACTCAGATTACACAGGTTCCACTATCTGACCCTCGTTCCCATGGCCGAGGACACCTGTGACCTCCAGGGGGAGCACTGGGGCCTGCACCAGCCTCTCCTCAGGCACTGGGGTATGGAGCGCCCTCCCTCTGCCCTCACGGCCTTGGCACCACCTTTATTTCCTGGGCCCATCGCCCCTCAGCACCTGCCTTCCTCAATCCCATGTTTTATGGTCACTTTATCCAAATTTCACCATCTCATGGTTTCGAATACCCAACACCTCCCACATCCAAGGCCAGCCCCTGCTCTCTGTACCTTATAACTCTGTCTTCCCTTGGTGCCCCAGAGGTCCATGAACTAATCCAGGTGCCTGAGACCATGGAGATGCTGGTCTGTGCCCTCGGCCTGCTGGTGGGCCTGGCGGGGGTCCTTAATGGCACCATTGTCTCAAAGACCAAGCGATCTGACAGCATCCCCGGGTCCAGGGGCTCCTATGAGTCATCCTATAGGTGTATTAGGGACAGAGTGGAAAAGACGAGGTAACAAGTTAGGGGTGAAGAGTGGGAAAGAGAAACACTTCACCAGGGGCTCTTTGAGCATTGATGTTTTACTGCCATTGGGCTGGATAAAAACATTAACAAATGTAATGAGAAATGACATTCATTGAGTTGCTTACTATGTTCTAGGCACTATTCTAAGTGCTTCTCATGTGTTCACTTATTTACATCTGGAGGTTGGTTCTTATTTATTTCATGTTACAGAGCAGGAATCAGACACCGGGAGAGGTGAAGACCACACAGCTTCAAAGTGCAAAGCTTGGATTTAAACCCAGGCTTTGGGCCTGCAGTGGCTGCAGTCTTGTCCAGTATTTAGATTATTTCATCTGCAGTCACTATCTGTCTTCCTACATTTTACACAGCCTTAATTTTCTTCTGCCCGCAGAGTGATGTTCAGAACTTCCAATGCTATGTTAAACATTTCCAGCAACGAAGGACATCCTATCTTTTGCACAATCTCAAAGGCAATCCACCTCATTTCTTTGAAATATATATGCTATAGATTTTTGGTTCACTACCTTTAACATGTCATGAAATTGATTAAATTCTGTCTATGTCTTGAGCTGAATTCAGTTTAAATTAATATGAATTTTGCGGAGTCCACTAATGTGTTAACCACATTATATATTTTCTGACACTGAAGAATCATTGCATTCCTAGAATAAATCTAAAATTGGTCAAAACGTATTGTTTTTATAATGTACTGTTGGATTCAGTGACATGGCTAAAATTAGTCCACAATCCTGTTCTCCTGTACTATTCTTAGCTGGCTCTGGAAATATAAATGAACCAACCTCATAAAATGATCTCAAAAATTCTGTTCCATTCTATGTTCTAGAATCACACGTGTAAGAGGCATGATCTGCTCCTGGAAATGTGGGAGGACACCCTCATCTGCAATAAGATCAGGACAGGGCCCTTTGGAAGGCGATTCTTTGCTTCCCATGACAATTTCTTTGATATTCTCTACTCTATTTTAGTTTTCTATTTCTTCCTGTAGTTTTGACCTTTATATCTTTCTAGAAACGTATCCGTTTTATCTAAATTTTCAAATTTATATGTATAGAGTTGGTCGTAAGATTTTGCATTTTAAAATGTGTATAAATGTCATTTACCCTTTTCGTTCTGAATCTCCTGTATTTTCCTTAGGAGTCTTGCCAGAGGTCTCATTAAAGTTTTCATTGCCTCAAAATTTGATTTTATCTTCTCTATTTTTATATTTCATTGAATTCAGCTTTTGTCCTTATTATTTACATGTATTTTCTTTTTGCTGTTTTTCTGCTTTTCCATCCTCTTAATTCACATAATTAGCTCATTTGTTTACAGTCATTTTACTCTAACAAAATTGTTTAACAGTCTGACATTCTATGCAGCATTTTGAATGAACTTATTTCATCTTTCTATAAAGACTAAACATCTATTATGTTTTCAGTTATTTCCTCTTCCTCCACTATTTCCCTGACTTTCTAGACGTCTAATTATTAAGATGTCAGATGTCTGTTTCTATCCTTCATTTCTCTTCACTTGTCCTTTACATTTTCTATTGTTTACTCGATCATATTGTCCTTGGGACAGTTTCTCAGTTTGGCTTTTTGTTTATTAATTACACTTCAGTTGCAAAAGTCCTATTTCTTGTCTCATTTATTATGTTTCTTATTCCAATCTTTATCAAAGCTCAATATTTGTGCTTGATTCAGTGGCTTCTTGCTTTTGCTTCAAATTCCCAAATTCTCCTTTACTTCTCTATTTAAGCCCTTTCTATTGTGAACTAGGGGACATTTGGAAGAAACACACAAACCAATAGAATGTACGTTGAATGGTTATCACCGCAAGCACCCATGTAACTAGTACCCGGGTGAAGAAATAGACTGTTGCCAGCATCCCTGTGCCCCTCCTTAGGCCAGGAGGTAGTGTGTAAGCTTTTCAGGAGCCAAAGGCTGCTGATATCCATAATGCCTAGCATTGCTCCTGGTACACAGTAGGTCCTCCATAAATATCTCTTGTAGAAGTATTTTATTATTTATTTAGTGTGTACTTCTTAAATGTTTTCCACCTTCAAGTATTCCCACTTATTTGAAGTTAGTTGCAGCCATATGATTTACATTGGAAAATGAAATGCGAGAAGTGTGTTCTTTCTAGGAGGGATCATTAAAAGCCAGTGAATAAATTCTTAGGTTCCCTTCATTCTGCTGGGGAGGTTCTGGGAGCAGATGTGCAGGAGAAAGACTGTCAGCCTGACTTCCTGAGTACGATGATGAGCAGAGCTTCCTGCATGACTTACTTTGGACGTGTAACATGAGCCAAACCTGGATATCTGGGTATTTGTTAGTTTAGCACAGCTGATCCTATTCTTACTGTGTAAAAGAAATTGAAGAGAAGGTGCTCAATGAGACTTCAGAGAAGCTGAGAGACAAAAGAACTAGGAGGATGTTTCATCCCATAAGCCAAGTGCACAGTAATTTCAGGGACAGTTTACAATGCAACATGCTCAAAAGGCATCAACTATGGTAAGTGTTCACTGGCCTGGTAGCAAGTGGTTATTAAAACCCCTTTCAAGAGCATCTTCACACCCGATGCCCAACTCCCACCTCCTTCCACTTTCACCATCCCCTGGCTCGGCCTCACTGCTACTTGACAAATGGGGACAAAGAGAGGGTGAGATGATTTCTTCTTAGGGTACCCCTTGATAACCATCTGAGGCAGTGTTGTCTGTTGGGTGGACCACCTTCTCGTTAGGGAACTGTGAGGGGTAGAAAATGAAGGGACCAGGTGGAAAGGGATGGAGGATACAACACTCAGCTGGGAGTCCTAAGCCCGCCGGGTTTTTTCTTCTGCAGGTATCAATTTTTCTGAGTCAGAGGTTGAGTCACCCACTTCACATCTCCTTTAAAGCTCCAGTTCCAACTTTCCTTTGAATCTCTGCTCTTCAACTCCAATGACTGATGTACCTCAAGACTCCTCTACCTCCTGGCTGCCTTTGATCCTGCTGCACATAGCACTCAGCAAAGGGCCTGACTCTTAGAAAACACTCTATCAATATTGAAAATTTGAAGTCTAGTGACAAGGTGGTCCCAGTTTGGATGGTCTCTCAGCTCTTGTCTCCTCTGGGACCTGTCTCTGCACTGCATCCTTCCTTAGAAATCCCAGAGTTTCATAAACACCTGCATATGTCAGAGTGAGACACATCTGATACCTTCTTTCTGTGACTCCAGGGACATTCCTCATCTCCTGACACCCTCAGTTCCCTAGGAGCACATATCCTGTTCCTGTAATGTGGGTGCAGATACCTCAGCTTCTGATCCTGACAAGTGTTAGTCCAGAGATTGTTCACTCCACTCGGGGTACTGCCCTAACCTGTAACATGAGTACAGGAGACAAGCAGGAAAGAGAATGACTCTGACTGGATATGGTTTGTAATTTGTAATGTTAACTGCTCAGTGACTCTGAGGGTAGGATTTATGTGCTCTGGGTCTGAGGATTTCATAATGATCTCGATTTGAAGACTTTCTGCTATTCTCATGACCTCCTTCCATCGTTGAATCCCTGGATTGAAATCATATTAATTTTATGCTGCATAGGTTTCTCACAAGTTTCCTGTGAAGCCAAAAGGGAAAATAAGACAGATAAAGGGTCCTTATTTACTATATACTGTCTTCCTTAGCTTATTATGTGACAGCTGAAATTACTACGCAAAAACAAGTCAGCAGCATTTTCCTTTATAGTTTTTGAGGAAATGAGGCTGATCAGGGATAAAGATGTTTTAAAAAGAAAAAATGATTGTGTCCTATTCCCTAGGTTAAGAAGATTATGAGAAACATGATTGGTTGTCCTTGTGTGTGGCTTCTCTTTCCTGACTCCCTGACTCAGTCCAGCCTCTCTGCAGACTCCAGCTGTATTTACTTATATCTGTGCCAGTGACGCCCAAGTCTGTGCCTTCAGCCCCACCTCTCCTGAAATTGGAGGAAGCCGGTCCCCCGATGGAAGATATTATTTGCAAGGGGAGATGGGCAAGAGGAGCACAGTAGCTTTCGGGAATTGACCAGGGACAGGTGCCCAGGGACACACAAGGCCCAGAAGATGCTTGTAAGAAGCCAGGGAGACTGAAGGCATCAACTGGATGTATAAGAGAGCTGCTGTGCACTGATTGTGTGTATCAGGAGTGAAGAATCCATCCTCTACACGAAAAAGAAAGCTTACAACAAACATGTCCTCTACCTTGACCAAAAGGTGTCAATATGAGACGCAAAACACATAACAATGTTGGATTGTTAAGAAAAAAAAAAAGACCAGTGTTTGAAAAAGAGTGCTACATGTATTGCTTTGCTCTTTCCCCAGTGGGGAGTCATTTCTGTCTGTATGAAAATTAAGACAGGAGGCCTAGGCTGGTGGATGAATGCAGACTTAGACGACAAATGACGTCTATTGGATGCATTCAAAAGTCCAAGCCGTATTTGGTTAAGGAGTATTTGTGATGGCACACAAAGAAAATGGTTAAAGTGTATTAGATTATATTTATGATTTTAAATTCTGATGTTCATTTAACTTCTTAATGGTAATGATAAAACATGCTCTCAGTAAGGTATATGTTGAATTAGTGCTGTGGGAATATGGGTCCTATCAGGCAGATTTGCAGTCTGCTCACCATTGAATAGTTAAGAATAGTGGTCTGAGACATAAATGGATGAGGGCACTAAACTTGATTTGGGGGCAGCTCACTGAAATACAGTCAATTCAGAAGAGTGTCATGTGTAACAGGCCCCATTATACAATAGTTAACATATCCCCATTTTCATGGTTCTCTTCTTTCCTATGTTTAAACCAAAATGAACTTCTTTATTAACTCCTACTGTCTACTAAAACCCTCAGAGAAAAGTGATGAGAGATGATTTGGTGCATATTTTTAAAGGAAAACAAACAGTCATGTTGGGTTTTGATTATTTGTGGTGCTAAGAAGAAGGGAACATGGTTGGAGGCCCAGTGAGAGAAACAGTGCTTTGAATCAAAGAGCAGAATGATAGAAACTGACTTCAGAGCAACTTCTTGGCAGCAGTATCCAATTTGGAAGTTGAAGGTCTGTCCTGGAGCCAGATGCTAACGAAACACAGCAAATGCTTTTCCTAAGGCACAATAGTCTTTTCAGTGAGCTCAGGAACCCTGTGGGGGTAAAAGACAAGTTATCCCAGGTTGCCAGCCTCCTTCCTGTAAGTCCAGGAGAGAAAAATTATGGTGAGAGGATGCGTCTCAGGCTGATAAATAACAGAGTTGATCTCTGCTTCCTTCAGCAATGGAGCCAAGCAATGCTCTTTCCCCACTTGCCTGAAGGCTGACATTGAAAGAGGGGTTCATGCCTGAGATTCCCTTCCTGGAGGAGCCTCAGTGTTACAATGCACAGAAAGGACTCATATCCTCCTGCAACCCACCCCACAAGGAAATCAAAGCAGGAATATTACCTGTTTATGCAGATCCTCGTTGAACTGAAATGAAAGACGAAAGGTTATATAATCAGCCATTGAAACCACCTCAGATAATTAGAGAAACATTTCCATCCCACCAAATTCCATTGCCCATCACTCAATGGACGCTCCGCAGGAGCCTGAGTACTTGGGACCTCATGCATCTGGCTGCATTAAGATCCCAGCCTGGGATCCCTCTCTCGCTATAGGTCATGTTTGTTCCCCGATTATCTGATATCAGTGGCCTCTAGAGCTTTCTGACATTTCTTTTCTGTCAAACCCCTCATCGTGGAATAAGTGTGAATATGCCAGGGGAAGGTAAGTCCCGCTCACCCTGCAGGCTTTCTCACCTTTCTTGCTCCTCCTGTGCATGAAGATGCCCACTCCACAGATGATGAGCCCCAGCACGAAGCCCCCAGCTCCCGTCAATGTCTTACTCCGGGCAGAATCAGACTGTGCCTCTGGGAAGGACAGACCCAGGTTTAGTGTCACCTCCACCAGCTGCATCCCTACTCATGTCCTGTCTGAGATTCTGGAGCCTGATGCAGCATATCGGGATGAGGACAGTGCAGCGGAAAAAGCTTGCTAAGAGGAAATTCAGAAAGAGCCACCCTCATATCTGGAACAGGGGTGTGACCTCAACAAGGTGGCAAATGCTGATTCTGGAAGTTGCCTCTCAAAATGCCTGAGAAGAGGCTAAAATGCTGAAGGAAGAGAACTGTTCCTATGTGTGAGGTCAGTTCCTAAGTGTGAGGGTTTCGAGACCAGTCAGTGTCCCTAGATTCTCTGACAAGGGGGAGAACTATGAATCTTCAGGAACCCCTAAGCCAAGGTCAGGAAGTCTCCATTTCCCTGGCTTCAAACTATGCTCAGGAGCTGGTATAGAAGAAAGATGGGGTTTGGACATGGCCCCAGGGTATAGATGCAGAAGATAAGATGAGTGGACCCCAGAGCCAGAGAGTCCCCTGCTCTTCAGAGGTGGGGTCTAGAGGGTCATCAGAGACTCACTCCACTCCACGGTGACAGGACTATCCAGGCTGGTGTGCTCCACTTGGCAGGTGTAGACATCTCCCTGCTGGGGGGTCATTTCCAGCATCACCAGGATCTGGAAGGTCCAGTCTCCATTACGGATCAGGTTGGTGGACACGACCCCAGCTGTTTCCTCCTGTCCATTCAGGAACCATCGGACTTGAATGCTGCCTGGGTAGAAATCCGTCACGTGGCAGACAAGCAGGTTGTGGTGCTGCAAGGGCCCCTTCTTGGAGGGGGAAACATTCACCCTAGGCTGGACTAGGAGCGTGGAAGAAAAATAATGAAATAGAATTTGAGATTGTCCTTCTTTCCTTCCTTCCTTCCTTCCTTCCTTCCTTCCTTCCTTCCTTTTTTTTGAGACATAATCTCGCTCTTTCTTTCTTTCATTCTTTCTTTTTGTTGAGATGGAGTGTCACTCTGTTGCCAAGTCTGGAATGCAGTGGCGCAATATTGGCTCACTGCAACCTCCACCTCCGGGCTTCAACCAATTCTCCTTCCTCAGCCTCCCGAATAGCTGGGATTATAGGTGCCTGCCACTTCACCTGGCTAATTTTTGTATTATTAGTAGAGACAAGGTTTCTCCATGTTGGTCAGCCTGGTTCTCTAGGAGCACTTGACCAACGCCTGACCTCAAGTGATCCACCCGCTCGGCCTCTCAAAGGGCTGGGATTACGGGCCTGAGCCACTGCATCTGCCCAGATTATTATTTCTTAGGCATGTTCACTATGTAATTGATTCCTAGATGTTGAAAATAGGAATAATGTGATTAGGCTAGTGGGTAAGGGTAGCATTGAAAAGATAGAAATAGACCTTCAAGTAGAGCATGCATGATCTTGAATAAAATAATAGTTAGTAAGTATATAGCGGAATGGCAGGGAGACAGAGTTTGCACTCTGTAGCACATTTAGGAGAAATTTTAACCAAAAGTAATTTGGGCAAAGAATATTTGATCAACTGTGAAATTACCTACCTTTTCAAAGTTCTATCTTGATACAAAGGAAGCAAAATTTACTCAAATAATATCTTGAAATTAAGATATACAGACAATGGCATTATGGTGGCCTGTGAATCTAATAACTTCATGAAAATACAAAGAAAATGAAGAGAGCTTTACATGTCTTATTCTGTAAAAAACCTATGTATTTTTTTACCTCACCTACAAAAACTCAAAATCTTCATATTTACAGAATATCCTGAGCTCCTACATGCTTGAGTAGTAGAAATCCCGTCCTTTTTCAAGTTCCTCCTCTGTGCTGCGTCTTCAGGTCCCATGAAGGTCTCACAGATGACCAGGTGTTGCCTCCCTCTGCATCTTTGCATTTGTGCCCCAGCTTGTCCTGTTGTTCTCAGGTGAATTTCCACACTGCCACTGGCAACTTTTCTTTTGGATCTCTGCCACCAGTACCTTTTTCCTCCTCAGAAAGCAGAAAAGGCCAGGCATGGTGGTCATGCCTATAATCTTAGCACTTTGGGAGGTTGAGGCATGAGGATCACTTGAGCCCAGGGTTTTGAGACCGGCCTGGGCAACATAGTGAGAACCCATCTCTAAAAAGAAAAATAAATTAGCCAGACATGGTGGTACGTGTATCTGTAGTTCTAGCTACATGGGAGGCTGAGGCAGGAGGATCACTTGAGCCCAGGAGGTTGAGGCTGCAGTGAGCCATGATGGTGCCACAGCACTCCAGCCTGGGAGACAAAGTGAGAACCTGTCTCAAAAACAAACACAAACACAAAACAAAAAACAAACACAGAAAAGGGTCAAGTGCTCCTAGAGAACAGTTCATTCAGGGAGATCCACTAGAGAACAGCTCTTTCAGAGGACTACCCTAGAGAACAGCTCATCAAGAGGAATGTCTCAAATTAGTCTTCTAGGTCCCTAATCACTCAGTTCTTTCCTTTCTACTTCCTGGAGAACACAAATACCCTAACATGGCGCTGGGCCAGGTAAAAGTACAGTCTTGAACTGACACACAACCCTTACTCCCTATTGTATTTTTGCCTTGTTTTCAGACTGATCCACATTGTCAGCCTCTTCCCTCAATGTGAGTTTATTTCAGGGGCACCTGTGTCTCACTACTTCATTACCTCGGTTAACTCAATGTCCATTACACTATTCAACTTATGTCTAAATCTCAGTTGTGAATTACCTACAATTTCTTCCCCATAGAGCTTCTGGGAACCATGAAATCAGGGGGAATACTTGGGTATCTGTTTTAAGGTCCCAGAACATTCCACGAGAGGCATCTTGCTCAATATTCTTTGACAGGAGCAGGTCAGCCTGGAGCCACATCAGTGACCTCCAGGGTGCGCTGGAGTTAAGGCCTGATACCCAATGGCCTCATTTCTGACCCAGTTCAAATACATTTCACCAAGGCAAGGATTCCTGTTTGTTCTAGTTGCCTTCTCTAATGCCCAGAAAACATTTGCTCAATTACTTCTAGATTTGGGTGGACATCCACCCTGGAATTGTCACTACTTCTTTCCTCCCCCTTCCACCTCTCCCTTGCCTCTGTGTTTTCCCTGTTCTAACTCATGCCTTGATTGCAATTTCCCTGACAAATAATAGCAGTTTCCTACCTCATCTCCCTGCCTCTGGTCCCTCCTCTAGCCAGCACCCTTAGTAGTCTTCTGAAGACACATCTCCAACCTTCTCTTTTTCATTTTTCAAAAATCTTCAGTGTTCTGACAATACTTATCTGGCTACATGGGAACCTCTAGGGAGCTGATTACAAGCAGAGATCCCCAGACCTCCCCACCCAGGGAATCTGAGTCTGGGGGCACTGAGTCTGGAGATCTGTGCATCACAGAGGATCTCCAGAAGAGTCTTCAGAGGAGTGAGGTTGGGGACCTGCGGGCCTGGAGGAGAAACCCACACTCCTTAGGCTGGCATCAGGGCTGTCTGCAATCTGGCAGTTGATTACTGTGAAAGAAAATGCTGCCATGTCACTGATTGGTGCCTCTACAAAGTCTTAGTAACAGTTTTTGCCAATTGCGTTATTTTTATTTGAACACCTCTCTCAACCAATTACCTCAGCAACTTTCCTAAGCTCATGTCACTCACCTCATCCCCACCCAGTGTGTCCACCTTCTCACTCATAGCAGGTGAACTTCCTTTCACTTTCCAGGAACAAGAAAATCAAAGGTGTGATCTCCCCAGCTTCCTCCTCCTCCTCCCTTCATTTTTTTCCTCTTTCTAGAAAAAAGGTCCAGGGCTCAATCCCACATCCTGATACTACTCCCTCAAGTCCCTCAGGTTGGTGCACCAGGCTCCCCACCCCACAAGTTCACAGGAGGAAGCCAAAGCTCCAAGGCCTTCCTGTCCCATCCTTGAGAAATCCTCTTACTGCACACACCTCACCTCTCTCCATCCCTTTACACCCAGACTTCCTGAAGGAAAAAGACGAATGAACTGAGACACTGCCCTGTGACAGCCGTGGGGAACCCAAGACAAGTAAAATCCATCTCAGCCCCGAGGAGGATGCGCCACACTCAGCCTCATGCACCCCCTCCCATTCCAGCTCCTGCCGCTGCGGCCAACCTGCTCTCCCCAGGTCTCCCTGGTTTCCAAACCCACTTTCCATCTTCTGTTTTCTGACCTTCCCAAGTCACTGGCACCGCTGTCCACTGTGCTGCTGAGGTCACCTCCCCTCAGCTTCCAAGACTCTTCTCTGCGGGCCTCTCCTCACACTGCACTTGGGTTTTTTTGGTCTCTTTCACAGGCTTTTCTGTCTTGGCCAAATCACAACTGTCCAGTTCCCAGGATCCGGTCCTTTGCTCTTCCCCCTGGGTCCCCTCTCCCTGGATGGTCTCATGTATCTCAGTCTCCTCCCCGGCTGCAGACCCTTCTGTCTACCTGCCCATCAGACCACCCATCTGCCCCTCAAGCACCTCAAACCCAGCTACCTCCCTGTAGGTTTCTTCTCTGTGTGGCCTGCTGTGCCATCTCCACCTCCATCTCCACACCATACCCTTGTGCGCTGTCCTGTGGCTTCCTTTTTTCACCCCACATGCAGTCAGCTGCCAGGCCTGATGAAGTCCCGGGGGTCTCTCTGCTCTCGTCCTCCTCACTCCATGCTCAGCCCAGTCCAGGTCCCCGCGCTCGCTCCCCTGACAAGCTCCAGATGGGCTCCCCCCATGAATCCCCAACCCAAAGTCCCCTTTCCGCCCGGCACTAAGGTCCCTTAGGCCAACCCGGCTGCTCCTGCGCCCTGGGCACGGGCCCGCGGGGCTGCCCTGGGACCGCCGGCCCAAAGCCCTCACTCACCTCGGCGCTGCAGGGTCATGGGCCCGCCCAGCTCGTAGTTGTGTCTGCACATCCTGTCCGGCACTGCCCGCTTCTCCTCCAGGATGTCCTTCTGGCTGTTCCAGTACTCCGCAGCAGGCCGCCCCAGCTCCGTCACCGCCCGGAACTCCCCCACGTCGCTGTCGAAGCGCGCGAACTCCTCCCGGTTGTAGATGTATCTCTCCAGGAAGCGCTGTGTCCCATTAAACGCGTAGCATTCCTGCCGTCCCTGGAAAAGGTAATTCTCTGCGGGGAGGGGGCGGACATGAGCGGAGGCGCCACTCTCATCTAATCCTCTTTCTCCCTCTCTCTCTCAATATTAACGATTCTTCCCAAATCTTCCCACCCAGGGCTGGATTTTAAAATAGGAGTTTTCCTAGTACCGAGTTCTGTGGTCCTAAGCGGGTCGCAGAGCCTCTCCAGGCCTGTTTTCTCACCACGCAGAGAGAGAATTTACTGAAAAGAATGAGCTCAGGGGCACTGAGTGATCACTAGGGAGGGGCGAGCACTGAGGGGAAGGCAGTCCCTTCTGCTGGTGGCTGGAGGAGGCGGAGACGTTTCACGTGGGGTCACTGGGAGAAAAAACAGGGGCGGGAGGAGCTGGGGACGTGGAGGGCGGAGCTGCTCCCCCTACTTAACTCCCTGACTGACATTTCCATCCTGATGTCAGTCCTGGTTCAAATGCCACCTCCTCCAGGAAGCCCTCCCTTCCTTCTTTCTCTTTTCCATAGCTAAGCGCTCTCTCTTCTCGACCAGTTTCTTGAGAATTCCTCAACTTGCTCCTGTTGTTTTGCATGTAGGAGATGTAGAAATATATTTCTTAAAACTTTCTTCAACTTTGGTATAAGAAAGACTCTGTAGCCTGAAAGTTAATTTTCAAACATGGCTGCAGAAAGACTTGGTGTCAAAAGATGTGGAAAGTATTTTACACAATGAAAATCACCACAACAACCAGGGACCTGTGGGGGTAGAGTCCTTTGGGTTTAGAGGCATTGATGTAATTTTTTTTGGCAGTTTTTATGGTTTTATTTACACACAAAACGTGGACATGAACTTTCTACTCATTTTCTTAGCTGTGCACCCTGGTACTGGGGTTGGTGACTCTGATGGCCGGCTGGGTGACTCTTTCCATGATGACTTTGCAGTTCTGGAGGAAATTTTGTGAGCGATCTCAGCACAGTAAGATTTGTTGCACATCAGCAGCACTTTCAGCTCCTTGAGGCTGTGGACCAGAAACTTCTGGAAGCCACTGGGCAGCATGTTTTTTTTGTTGTTGTTGTTGCTCCCATAAGCAATGTTGGGCATCAAGATCTGGCCCTTGGACCTTCTACGAACCCTACTGTTAAGACCTCTGGGTTTCCGCCAGTTATGCTTAATTTTGACATTTCAGTCTGATTGGTGCCTCATGAACTTGTTGGTCCTCTTTTTGAGGATCTTATCCTTCATGAGGAGTCTGAGGGAGGCCATGATGTGGAGGAAGAGATGGCTGCCAGCTGCATAGGCAGCACCGAGGAAGACAGCATTGATGTAATTTTTACATGAACAATTTTGGCAGCCTTTCCCACATGCTGTTCTTCCTAGGGAGTGCCATGAGCAGTGTCTGGCAGGTGTGTGTCTACACAGAATTATCAGTGACACGGCACATGTTTGTTTCTGTTTGAGTATCTTCAGGCCTGCTCTGTTCTTGGGCACACTGGGGAAATTAAGGTGCTGTGATTGTTCTGCTCATCTGTTTCATGCTCCACAAATTAACTTCTCCAGTTTATTAACCTCACCCCTAGCAGAAGTTGCACAGCTGGTGGCAGAGGATAGTGGAGATGGGGTAGGGCTGGGCTCAAGGGCACCATGGAGTCCACCTTTAGTCTCCAGTGTCATTGCTAAGGCAAGATCCCAGGTCTTGACTCAGATATCCTGACCTGCCTCTTCTCCTGGTGCCTTGGGCCCCAGACCCTAAAATTCCAGGCCCAGAGCCCCCCAGCTCCTTGAGTCCAGATTCCTCCTCCTCTGCCATCCATCCGCCCCTGCCTGTTCAATTGCCCCACTCTGAGTGTGGATTCTCCCATTTTCATTTGTTAGTCTTTGTTTCTCCTCCTCAATCACCAGTAAGAGAACGTTTTTCATTCAAGAATAAGAATTTTGAATTTTTTCTTTGCAACATTTAATTTTTTTAATTTACCCAGTCTTAGGTAATTTTTTAAGTACATTTAACTTTTGAAATGGAATTTTACCTGCCAAGTAGACATAAGCAATGAGGGGTTTTATGGTGTAATTTGAAACCTTCATTTTTTTTTGTATATAAGAAACTTTATCCTGTTTGTGGAACCCTTAGCAATTGAGTTGCCCAGAGCACGGTTTGAAACCACTGATCTGAATGAATTCGTCTCTTATTCAGAATAGGATATATTAAAAACCTCTAGCTCCCTATGGGTTGTCTCAGCCAAGCTTTTCTCCCCCAGCCTCTTTAAGCTATAGCCTGGCTCCTCAGCCCTTTGGTCTTGTGCCCTGTTTGAGGTTGGGGATGTGTGTGGAGTTGGGGGAGCATGCAGGGAATTGTGGAATCAGCCCTGCCCACTTTACCCACTCCCCTATGGCTCCAGCTCTCCCTCCAGCAGGTTTTGATTGAACATTCATTCTACGCAGGGAGCTCCAGTAATCTACCCTCAGTCCCTGTCACATGGCTCCACTGCCTCATCTCATTCCCCCTACAAACCTCAACCCAGCCTTTGCCCGTCCTCCCTTTCACTGCCCAGCATCACATGCCCCCTTCTGCTCTCTGCTCCCCCACCTCTGGGTTTCCTTGGTGGCTCCCAACACTGTCCCTCATCCCACATGACAGCTCTGCCTATGGGATGGGGGCGCTGCATCCGTCACTTCCTCCTGACACTGTTCAGTGTCACCAGTGCTGCTCCAGCCTCCTCTCTCCCCAGCCTCACCCCTCTGCAGTTCCCAGGGCTGAGCCGTCCTGCTGGTTAGTTCTCAGCACCCTTCTGTGACTACAAGTTCAAGTTCTCCTCCCCTTCCTGGACAATGAACCCAAGGTAATAGATAAGAGGTTTTAGGGCTTGAGGGGCTGTATTCAGGAGATTCCAACCTTGCTACCCTGAAAGATGAGGAGGTGACATGATGTCAGTACCTTCTAGGTGTGTCCTAGGAGGGGTGTGGAGAGGTCTAGGAGGAAGGGTGTAAGCAGGAAAAGTGGAAGTCAGTGGAAAACTAAGGTACCTACTTTGCAGTCCTTCCTCTCAGAGTGTTGGTGTAAATTTGGACTAGAAATGTCCTGAGAGTACAATGGTTGAACTAGTTTACAGTCCCACCAACAGAGTAAAAGTGTTCCTATTTCTCCACATCCTCTCCAGCACCTGTTGTTTCCTGACTTTTTAATGATCGCCATTTTAACTGGTGTGAGATGGTATCTCAAGACAGTGTGGCAATTCCTCAAAGATCTAGAACTAGAAATACCATTTGACCCAGCCATCCCATTACTGGATATATACCCAAAGGATTATAAATCATGCTGCTATAAAGACACATGCACACATATGTTTATTGCGGCACTATTCACAATAGCAAAGACTTGGAACCAACCCAACTGTCCATCAGTGATAGACTGGATTAAGAAAATGCACACATATACACCATGGAATACTGTGCAGCCATAAAAAAGGATGAGTTCATGTCCTTTGTAGGGACATGGAGGAAGCTGGAAATCATCATTCACAGCAAACTATTGCAAGGACAAAAAACCAAAGACCACATGTTCTCACTCATAGGTGGGAACTGAACAATGAGAACACATGGACACAGGAAGGGGAACATCATACACCGGGGCCTGTTGTGGGGTGGGGGGAGGGGGGAGGGATAGCATTAGGAAATATACCTAATGTAAATGACGAGTTAATGGGTGCAGCACACCAACATGGCACATGTATACATATGTAACAAACCTGCACGTTGTGCACATGTACCCTAGAACTTAAAGTATATATATATATAAAAAGAAATATCCTGAGAGTATCCTGAGAGAAAAACAATGGATCATAGATGCCATAATATTACACCAGCCACAGGGAGGCAGCAGGAAGAAGAGATTTTTCACTTGGTTACTGCTTCCTTGGCTGTCTGATAACCTACACTCAATCCCTGTCATGCACCCACACAACCTCATCTCATTCTTCCTACAAGTCGCAACCCACTCTAGTACCCTAACCAAGTTCTGGGGAGGCTGGGAGAAGTACCTTTAATGAGAATGCCTTCAGGGGCTAAAACCTATCCCCCTCCCTCCCTTCTCTCCTTAATTGTCCAAGGGATGTGGGCTCCTGCTCCACCCTGGGGAATAAGAGGCATTCTTCGTGAGCACTGAATCCTCAGTGATCCTCAGAGCCTGGACACTCCAGCTTAGGGCTCTCTGCCTGAGTCCCCTCCAGGCTGGATGCAGACATGAACACGCCCAGGAGCCTGCACTTGCCAACTTCTCTCTCTGCAAACCTTGTCTGTCCAAGGTTATCCAGGACCTCTTGGTCCCATTTTCCCCAAAGACACTGACCACTGGGCACCTCTCTCTGTTTACTGTACCCATGTCCTTGGAGAGAGAATAGGCCAGTAGGGTAGCAAGCTATCCTATAGGGGATGAACCTCTTTCTCTAGCTGGGAAGAGAGGACACTGCCTTAGGGCAGGAGCCCCCGCAGCCTGTCTCAGAATTTGATCCCTTAAAGATAACGTCCCCTAGGAATTGTTCCCTGAGCCAGACCCTCCAAGAATGGCAGTTCGGCTCTTACCTGGAGTGGCCCTGCCCTGGACCACAGATGTGAGCAGCACCATCAGTAACGCCGTCAGAGCCACTGTCCGGGGGGCCGCAGAAACCTGCAGAACCATCATGGAGCTGGAAAAGGATGGCAAAATGAAAAGAGCTGCAGTCAGGAAAAGAAGGACTCGCTAAAGGGAGCTCCTGTTTGAAATATTAGAGACCATGAACCCAAGTAGTCTTCTGTGACCCTGGGATTGGACAGAGTCTGAGAAAAGAACCAATGGACACTGAGCTTTGTATGAGTCATTGCTCACTAGGCAGAAAGTTAGTATGAAAGGTCTGAAAATATAAAGCCTGTGATGCACTTAAGATGACGGAGGAAAGACAGTGATACTCATTTTAACCAGTCAGATAAGTCATGATGTTTGGGGAGATTATGCGTTTTCTTTGCTCTGAAGGTGATCTCAAATATTCTGCTGGCCCATCTACAGGGATTATCATTTCCCCAATTCTGCCACACCTCACACACCCACAGGACATGGTCTGTTGTGGAAAAAGTGCTATCTTAGTGTGTAAAAGGTCATTCAGTGGCATGACTTAGAGGGATTAGAGTACCCATCTCAGAACTCAAATGAGGTCTGAGTCTGTCTGTCTTGCCTTTGTCCAAGGGTGTGTTTAAGATTAGCACCCATTCATATTTACTTTCTCCCAGAGGTCTGTGAGTCCTGCGATGTGCAGGAGTTACCAGGTTCTTCCACAGGACTGTCATCAGGGTCAGGAGGGCTCAGTCTAGGGACCTTACACTGGGAGCGTGGACACACCACCTACCCTACCATGTAAATATGCAGCTTTAACGACACTGCCTCTCTTGGACTTCGATTCCTTGTCTTCAATATGGGGATGATATAACCTGCCTTATAGCAAAGCTCTTAAGATCAAATGAGATCAATAGGTCTGAAATTGCTTTGGAAAAATAAAGTCCATAGAGAATATAAATTGACTGGTAAATAAGGAAGAAAGTGAAAAAAAATCATCAAAGACCCCACCTCCTTCAAAGCATCTGATTCTATTTTGTTTAGAGTGAATATTTTTACAAACTTTCAAAGAACATTACTTCTTACTTTAGACACTTATAAATGTGATCCTGTTGGACCACCAATTCTAATTTCAAAAAAAATCAAATTGGCATCATTTCTTTAAATCAATATTAAAATGTAAATAGAAGGCTAGCATGTAAAATGCAAGAGAAGAAAATAATTATGTAGTAGAAGGTGTCTAGTAGGATTAAGGGGCCAGGAGAGGATTGTGGAGAAAAACTCAGTTTTTTTAGTAACTGCCTGGGTGGGACTTTTCTCCTTGTCATTTACCTGCCATAGATAATTAGACAAATACTTCCTCGATGTCTCAGGTAATTTATTTTTACAGTAGACATTAATAATACCTCCCTCAGGTTTAATATGAGGTTTAAATGAGGTAATGCATGCAAAGCACTAATAACAGAATCTCTCATGTCCTAATCTGTTAGTAATTATTATTTATGCAAGGTAAGGCTACCACAAATAAGATAAAATATTAACGTAATATATGTACTTCATCATTACATTAAATAGTAAATGTTTTGTGACCTTCTCTATGAGTATCAAATAAATAGCTCAAAATTGAAATATTTAAAATGAGACTAGAAAAGTATTTCTTAAATATGGTAAAGAGAATATAAAATAAAAAATTAACATTACCTGTAACAGAAAAACATTAGAGAAACCCTTCTTAAAAACAAGATCAAAATATGGGCGCACATTGTTACCACAGGTAATGCTGTCCTGGGTATTCTTATATGAAAATGAAATAACAAGACTAGTAATTTAAAGATAAAAATGTTATTACACTGTTTAAATACCAGGAAAAATCAAATACTAAGAAATCTGAAAAATAAAAATTATCTAGAAATTTCACTAACAAAGGTAACCAGGAATAGATAAACAATTAAAGATCAACTTCATTCAAGTTAATTAAAACCTCTAAATAGAAATTATAACACTTCTGCAGAAATGATTAAATAAAAAGGAGGTATCTCAGGGAGGTGGACCTGAAAGAAAGATTAATTATATATTTTATTAGATAGCACATTCATTCTTAATTATCAGCAGAATATTTTTGTAAAATATTGACAACATAACATAAAACATGATTTAAAATATAGTGACCAAAAAACATCAAAGATCATCTGACTGTCTGGGATGGGGGTGGGGCTCGGGAGAAGGAACATAATGGAAAACATTTGCCGTCAGAAGAAGGTGTAACTTATCTTTTTACATCTCTTTCTCTAACTCTGAAAATGAACTGTGAACTGGAGCTCTCTTGACCACGCTGGTACCTAAAATTCTCCCATCTCTTCCCCAGCACCTTCCAGCGTCCTCTTTACCCAGCAACAGAGAATGTCAGCTCTATGATTTCTCTGATAGGTGAATCCCAGCCATGCTGATTCCTCTCCACCCATTTCCAGTGCTAGAGGCCCACAGTTTCAGTCTCATCTGCCTCCACTCGGCCTCAGTTCCTCATCACTGTTCCTGTGCTCACAGTCATCAATTATAGACCCCACAACATGCGCCCTGAAGACAGAATGTTCCATATCAGAGCTGTGATCTTGAGAGCCCTCTCCTTGGCTTTCCTGCTGAGTCTCCGAGGAGCTGGGGCCATCAAGGGTGAGTGCTCAGGAGGACGCAGGAGCGTCGGGGTGAGTGATGGGGTGGTTCACATCAATTGCTGCTTCAGGGATCACAGATTTTAGGGGCTCATTGATCTATCTGGTCCTCATAGTCTATGTTCCCTCTGGCCCTCATAATAATAACAGCAATAACAGCCAGAATTTATGAGACTCCTGCATAGTTTCTTTCCCCATTTACATCTCACAGGAATCTTCAATGAAGATAATATTCCATTCATTTAGAAATTATTCCTTTTATTTAGAAATTATTTTGAAAAAACTGAAGCTCAAAAAGATGAATAAGTTTTCCAAGGTTACACAGCAGATCAACGAGCCAAGTTTGAAGTCCAGACCCAGCTCTGAGGGTCATACACTGCCTTCCCCAGATTCCTGCACACAGTGACCTACTATCAGGGCCCTCCTATCTCTCTGGGATCCCCAGCCTCTATCTTTTGTGGCTGCTTTACAGGAACTCCGAGCTATGGACTCTGCATTAGGAGACGAAGTGCAAAGAGTGTTTCTGTATCCTCCCTCTCTTCTAGGACCCTAGGGCTCTTCCTGGGTCTTTGTGGGTGGTCACAAGCTTTCCTCTCTCAAGACAGCAGGGTTGCATGGTCTTGATAGCCTTGTGATTCGGGTTCTGAGAGATTCAGGACTGCAAGGGAGGCCTAGACTTTTGATAGCTGCAAGGACTCAGCCAGAGATGGACCGTAGTGAATGCTCCTTTTTCCTGTAGCTGAAATCAGGGAGAATGACATCAAGCCTGTGCATGATGCTGTCATTCCAAAATCTAGTGATGGGGAAGGTTAGAATCCATAACGTACAAGATGCACACTGGCTTCAGACAGTTTTATTTAAGATGTGTAGAATAAAGAGGAGGTCAGGCTGGGTAGAACCAGAAGTATCTATTGCCCTGTTCGCGGTCACCTGAGTTATTTCTAATGTTATGTTATAATAAACACCACAATAGGCTTCTCTTCATAGATGCAAATACTTTTTAGTATTCTTGGTAGAAATTCCTAATGAGCTCAGCTGTCTCTTCAGGGCTTCCCTGCCCAGTCTCTTAACATTTAAACATGTCATTTACCTTAAAAACATAAGTGCAAACCAACTGATAAAAAACAACCTTGCCTTCAGTCTGCATCCTGTCCCAGAGACACTTTCTTTGTGTCCTCACACGTGGAGCTAAGCTTCTGACTTGTCTCTGGTACATCCCTGAGGATCCTCTCATCTTGGCCATCAGGAACCTCTACAGAAGGTCAAATTCAGTGGGTTCTTCTCAGTGCCTCTGACTTGAGTTACTAATAACATTTGCACTATAATCCACTTCTTTCTGATGAACTACCCTGTCCTTATTTTTCTCCTGTTTACCTGGATCCTCCTTATCATCTTTTAAACCACCTCTTAACTATCATGTTCTCTCATTATACCCTGAGATCTCGGCAATTCTGATTTTTGGCACTCTTCCTGGAAAATCTTATTTAACCTGCACCTGCCACTAATGACTCTCAGTTCTATGGCCTAAATTCCTCTCCTGAGACCACCCATAATCCACAAATATCTATGTATTATTTCTCCTTAGATGACTTTCAGGTCTTCTAAGTGCAATAGCCCCACAGTAAACTCAGTATCTTCTCCCGGTCAGGCTGTCTTCCCTGAGAGAAGTGGCTTTTGCCCTGTTTTCTGAATGCCTACATTGAAGCCATCTGTTCCCCAGGAAGCCTTCCCTGATGTGCTGTTTGGTCGCATCTTGTGTATACCTACGTATCTGCACTTATCCTTCTGAACCTGCTGTTGTCCTGTCACTTGTGTTTCCTTCTGTGACTTATACGCGTCTGCAGAACAGGACGTATGTATTATTTTTATTTGGGTATTTAGCATCTAACAGTGTTTGACATATAGTAGTCTTTTAATACATATTTTTGTCTGAATGGAAATGATATTTTGAAGAAAAATAATCTGTTCCATAGCTGGCTGATCTTTGGACTGCAGAACTTGTGAAAGTGTTTTTTAAAAAGCATTTTAAAAAGTACAAGGGACATTCATGTATTAAGAAGATGAGTTTCCAATAACTGCTAGAGGACTTTGTGTCTTTTTATTTTACCCTCTTTTTCCTGATGAGTCCTTTGAGTCCTTTAAACTGAGGAGCAAGCTAAGTTTCCTAGTGAAATACCTATAGGATTTGTTTTGTTTAGTTTCAAATACCACTCTTTGCTTGGCCACTTACTGTGTCAGGGAGTCATTCTCAGTGAAAAATAAGACACAGGTCATACCCTCTAGACACTTACAATTACAGTGGCAAGGAGTCATTCTCCTGTCACTGTAAGTGGCCAAGCACAGACTGGGTCCCCACATGTCAGGGCTGAAAACTCACAGGGAAATCTGTGAGTTGGGAGGTGAGAGCAGAAGAGTCCCGTAGTTCCTTCTCACTCTGATGCATTTATCATTCTAAACCCAGACTTTCACATACACATTCATCGTTTTCTTTCATGATAATAGTTGCTTTTATCCTCTTATCTTTGCTAATTCTTACAAACTAATAAAGACTAAGAAACAAAATAAATTAAATCCTACAGGTGTTCCAAACTCAGCAATAATTTCTAGTTGGCCTCTAAAACAAAAATCAAAATATAAATGTAAGAAAAGTTTAGAATGCTTAGTACCTGTGTGATGAAATAATCTGTACACTAAACCCCCAAGTCATGAGTTTACCTATACAACAAACCTGCACATGTACTCCTGAACATAAAATAAATGTTGAAATATTTTTAAAAAGGAAACAAAAGTTTGGAACAAATGCCAAAATAACTGTACTGTACTTTTGAATTTATATGCCCCAAATGAAAAATATTATCAACAAAGCTATACATTCTACAGTTTCATGTTCATAAACTAAGACAGAAACTTTAAAACTGTCAAGAGCCCTAAAATTTGAAGGATATTTTCTTCTTCCTCTCAATTTTGTATTTTTTTCTACCTTTTCTATAATAAGAAAAAGAAAATGTCCATTCCCCCACCCCCATGACTCTAAAAACAATTTTACATCTGTGTCATAGAAAAATTAAGATCTTAATGGGAGAGAAAACCTCTCTACTAGTTCCGCCAGTAGCCGTATGACCTTAGCAAGTTATTAATATGTAACTTCCCTGCATTTCCTTACCTGTAAAATGTATGATATGTATTTGCTTCATAGGGTTATTGTGACAATTCAGCGAGTGAAATATGTAAAGTATTTAGAAGGATGCCTGGCACAAGTAAGTGCTCAACAAATGTTAGCTGTCATTGTTACTATTACTATTGTGTAGGGTCAGGATGCCCAGACTTTCAAAGACCAGGAAGCAGCTTGACTTATCAGTGATAAACTTTTCATTTTGTTCTTTGCTCCTTTCTTTTTATAACTGCTCATCTGCTCTGTATTATTTCCTTTATGGTGTTGCTCCTTCTTCTTCCCCATATGTCCTTCCTTTGACCTCTTACCTTCTTCCTTTTTATATTCATAAGTCTTTATTCATTCTCTAGCTTTGACCACTTGCATATTCAAACTGACATTTTGTCGTGTTTTTCTCTACTGTCTTTATGCAGCGGACCATGTGTCAACTTATGCCGCGTTTGTACAGACGCATAGACCAACAGGGGAGTTTATGTTTGAATTTGATGAAGATGAGATGTTCTATGTGGATCTGGACAAGAAGGAGACCGTCTGGCATCTGGAGGAGTTTGGCCAAGCCTTTTCCTTTGAGGCTCAGGGCGGGCTGGCTAACATTGCTATATTGAACAACAACTTGAATACCTTGATCCAGCGTTCCAACCACACTCAGGCCACCAACGGTACGCCCTATCTTTGCCTCTTCCTCTGTAGCCCAACTGGAAGGGATGAGAGGGCCTCTCTGCCACCCTCAGACTAGGAAGCCTAAGTGCCCCCTGCTGTGTGATCCTCTTCCCCTAGTGGCCATGGGCTGATCCCACTACAGCAAGGGCTTGCATCCTCTCTTCTCAGGAGAGAGAAAGGTGAGCAGAGTGAGGCTGGTCAGTGGTGTGATACCCCTCTCTGTGATTCAGAGCTGCCATAAAATCTAAGGCTGAGGTAGAGGACCACCCTCCCCTAAGAGGTGGAGCCTTTGTGATTCATCCCAGAAGAGGGGCCTAACCTGGTGCTGTCTCCTTCCAGATCCCCCTGAGGTGACCGTGTTTCCCAAGGAGCCTGTGGAGCTGGGCCAGCCCAACACCCTCATCTGCCACATTGACAAGTTCTTCCCACCAGTGCTCAACGTCACGTGGCTGTGCAACGGGGAGCTGGTCACTGAGGGTGTCGCTGAGAGCCTCTTCCTGCCCAGAACAGATTACAGCTTCCACAAGTTCCATTACCTGACCTTTGTGCCCTCAGCAGAGGACTTCTATGACTGCAGGGTGGAGCACTGGGGCTTGGACCAGCCGCTCCTCAAGCACTGGGGTATGCAACTGCTTTTCTCTCCATAATCTCCTGGCATCCTCTATTCCAAAGACCTGGTGTCCTCTGCACCAGCTTTCCGCACTGGCTGGGTCTCAGTCCTCTCCTCGTCCTAACATCCAATTAACTGGTCCATAACCTTCAATTCCCACAACCATCCCAGGCCATCACCACCCTCACTGCACCTCCTGACCCTATCTCTTCATTCTTCCCCCAGAGGCCCAAGAGCCAATCCAGATGCCTGAGACAACGGAGACTGTGCTCTGTGCCCTGGGCCTGGTGCTGGGCCTAGTCGGCATCATCGTGGGCACCGTCCTCATCATAAAGTCTCTGCGTTCTGGCCATGACCCCCGGGCCCAGGGGACCCTGTGAAATACTGTAAAGGTGGGAATGTAAAGAGGAGGCCCTAGGATTTGTAGAATGTAAGGAAGGGAGGAAAAATTCAATCTGATAAGTGTTCATTGATCTTCTAATGGGTTAAAAGCATTCAGCCACATAACAACAACAACACCGATAACTAACTGAGTAGTTAATATGGTCAGGCGCTATTCTGAGGATTTACATTTATTAACTCACTTTATTCTCACACATAGTCTTTGAGGTAGGTACTATTATTTTCACTATTTCACATGAGAGATACTTACATCTTTTTACATACACAGAGACTTTAAGCACTTTGATCAAGTTCCCACAGCTATGAAGTAGTAGGGCTAGCTTCCAATCCAGAAAGTCTGGATCCAAGACTGTTTATCCACTGTCCTATTCACCCTATTTTGTGAAGGAAAAGACCAAGTTCAAATTCTCCAGAGTCCATTGCCAAATAATGGAGTCAGATCTATATTTCTATACATAATTACAACACAGTGTGGTGGGTGCCTGTAACTACTTACTGTCTCTACTTGGACTCATTCCATGGCAATGTTCACACAAAAAATGCCCCTCCAGAGATCTTACAGGTTTCTATTTATCATAACACTCACCATGCTTTATATTTTTATATGTTTTGGGAATTCTCTTAGCATTAGACAGTGAACTTCCATGCAGATGACCACATCTAATTCATTATTATTATTGTTATTCATGCTGGACCTCAGGTACAAAAGGTTAAGAACTTCTCAGTTCATTATATGATCATCATTGGTGCCTCCGAGCTCTCTCTCTCTCCCTTGATTTATTTGGTCCCTTTTATCTCCAGTCCTTACTCCCATATCTAACCTCTTACCCCTACCTCATAGGTAAACATTTTAATGAATTTGATGTTTCCTTTTATTTGCATAGATCCTCTGTAATATGTAGTAGTGTCCAGTGTACATGTATTTTTAATTAACCAAAATGGCATTAAATTATAGATCTAATTTTGTACATCCAGTTTGTTTCTTCCAAATCTTCCATAGTATTTTACTTTATATGTCCATGCATTAGTCCATTTTGCATTGCTATAAAGGAATATCTGAAGTTACCTAATTTACGAAGAAAAGAGCTTTAAATGGCTCACAGATCTGCAGGCTGTACGCGAAACATGGCACTAGCATCTGCTTCTGTTGGGGGATTCTGGAAGCTTTTACTCATGGTGGAAGGCAAGTGGAGCCAGTGCATCACATGGTCATAGAGGGAGAAAGAGACATAGAAAGAGGTGCCAGCCTCTTTTTAACAACCAGGTTTCATGTGCACTAATAGAGTGAGAACTCACTCATTACCCGGAGAGGGGACAAAGCCATTCATGAGGGTCTCCTCCATGATTCAAATACCTCCCACCAGGCCCCACCTGCAACACTGGGGATCAATTTTCAACATGAGACTTGGAAGTGACAAATATCCAAATCATATTAATCCACATATCTACATTGCTCCTGGGATACCTGGATCATTCCTGGTTCTCTACTATTGCAAGCAATGCTTGTATCTCACATGGAACTGCATATACATGTGGGCCTGACCTGCATCCCTGGAATGTATGTATCCTAGAAAGGGGTTGCAGGGTTGCTGGAGATGCAGCTCCTTAATTTGACTAAACACTGCTCATCTTCTCATCAGAATGGCTGTACTCATCTGAACTTCCTTTGTCAGTACTCTAATTGTCCTGCAACTCCTAAATGGACTTCAACACTGGACATTATCCAGTTTTCTAACTTTTGCCAATTTCATGTGCATAAAGAAATATGCTGTTTTATTTTGCATTTCTTTAATTACTAATAATTGGGGCTATAATTAGGACTGATTAGCCACTTGGGGGTTCCTTTTCTATAAATTGCCTGTTCACATTCATTGTCCATTTTTGTACTATGTGCTTCCATCATTTTCTTATTGATTTGCAGGTGATCCTTATATAGTCCTGCTAGTAGTCCCTTGTCAGTTTTAGGCATTGCAAATGTTTTCCTCTAATCTGACTTCTGGCAACTGTCTCCTTGGTTTCCTTTATTGAAGAGAAATCCTTAATATTTTGTAATGAAGTCCATCAACTGTATTTTTGTTTGTGTGTCTTTTTTAAAAGAAGTCTTCCCTATACTGAGATATCAAAGATACTCTTAAAACATCTCCTACAGTTTTAAATTTCACATTTACTACTTTAATTCATCTGGGATTCATCTTTGTGTTTGATGGGGATCATGTTTTATTTTTCTTTATATAATGGGCCAGTGTGTTCCCACAACTACTAAATAGTTCACCTTTTCCCCATAGGTTAGTAGTGTCTCCTTTGCTATACTGAAAGCTCCCATTATAGGTGGGCCTGTGTCTGAGTTCCATCTTGTTCCACTGTTCTGTTTGTCTCTTCTTGTGCCAGTGTCCTAGTATTTTGATTACTATGACATTGTAGTGTGTGTTAGTATCCAGTAGGACAAATTCTTGTTTATTTTTCTTAGTTCACACACATTTATAATTATATCTATAATGATTTGTAACAGAGTGAAGTGAATGTAGAATGTCAGATGTTAAGAGGAAGAATGGAAAAGAGGGCTGGGACTAGGGTGATGTAGGGGATGCACCTGGCTTAGGTGCAAAATTTGGGGGATACCAAAAGAACTCAGTAATAAATCATATTTTAATGAAATATCTTGAAAAGGCAAAATTAATGCAAAGATACATGATTAACAAAACATCCAAAGAGGAGTATTTAACAAAAATGGAGAAGCAGAGAAGCAGAAGAATTAGGAGAATATGCTGTCACATGAGCCAAGGAATTAAAGAATTCAGGAAGGAGGAAGTACTGCTGTCAGATGTTCAACAGAGGTCATTTTAGAAAATTTACCTTGGTTTTTGAAATCCTTTCAAAGAGCAGTATACACAATGTGAGCAAGTATCCTTCGTTCATTGCCGTCATTGATATGGTTTGGATATTTGTCCCTTCCAATTCTCATTCCAGGGTTAAGCTTCTTCTCTGCCCTCAGTAATGTGGCCCTTCCCCTTGTCTGTATATTTTGGAGACATGAAGCATGTGGGATGGCCTCACAGTCAGCTGGGGTTTGAGGGTGAAATTCAATGACTTTCGTGAACTCCTTGGCTCCTATGTGCTCTTCACCTGGAGGACCAGGGCATGTGCAGGGATGACCACCTTCTCCCTGGGACCTGAACAGGGCAGAGAAATGGGAAGCTCGGGTGCAAAGGGAGTGGGGAAGATGGGTCCGGGCTTACAGTACTGAACCCAGGAATGACAATAACTGTGTGTGTTGCTGCAGGTGACAAAATATCTGAACAGAAGAGGACTTAGGAGAGATCTGAACTCCAGCTGCCCTACAAACTCCATCTCAGCTTTTCTTCTCACTTCATGTGAAAACTACTCCAGTGGCTGACTGAATTGCTGACCCTTCAAGCTCTGTCCTTATCCATTACCTCAAAGCAGTCATTCCTTAGTAAAGTTTCCAACAAATAGAAATTAATGACACTTTGGTAGCACTAATATGGAGATTATCCTTTCATTGAGCCTTTTATCCTCTGTTCTCCTTTGAAGAACCCCTCACTGTCACCTTCCCGAGAATACCCTAAGACCAATAAATACTTCAGTATTTCAGAGCGGGGAGACTCTGAGTCATTCTTACTGGAAGTCTAGGACCAGGTCACATGTGAATACTATTTCTTGAAGGTGTGGTTTCAACCTCTGTTGCCGATGTGGTTACTAAAGGTTCTGATCCCACTTGAACGGAAAGGTCTGAGGATATTGATTCAGTCCTGGGTTTTTCCCTAACTACAGGATAGGGTGGGGTAGAGAAAGGATATTTGGGGGAAATTTTACTTGGATGAAGATTTTCTTGGATGTAGTTTGAAGACTGCAGTGTTTGAAGTCTCTGAGGGAAGAGATTTGGTCTGTCTGGATCAAGATTTCAGGCAGATTAGGATTCCATTCACAGCCCCTGAGCTTCCTTCCCAAGGCTGTATTGTAATTATAGCAATATTTCATGGAGGATTTTTCTACATGATAAACTAAGAGCCAAGAAATAAAATTTTTAAAATGCCCTAATTCATTGCAATTTTTACCAGCCATAGTCACTCCATGTGGGAGAACTTAAATCATGATTACCAGAGCTTTCAAAGGTTTGAGAATAGTGATGATTATGAAGAAAAATATCTTATTTGAGCAAGGATTTTGTTTCTTTATGAGTGTTCATTAGATATTACGATGAAAAAAGCATGAAATGGTAAAAATTCAGATAAATATAAAAACATGTTCTCTAGTTTTTTTTAAGTTAAAAAAGGAATTGTTTAAAGTAAAAATTATTTGGGGGTTTATAACATACCCAGAAGTAAAATATGATGACAATGGCACAAAGAATAGAAGGGAGAAATGGAAGTATAATGTTGTAAGTTTCTTATACATGTTAAGTGGTGTGTTATTATTTGAAGGTAGAATGTATTAAGATGAATATTTTAAGCTCCTGATAACTATTGAAAAAAAAAGAGGTATAGCCAAGAGGCCAATGGAGAAGATAAAATAGAACACTAAGCATAATTAATTCAAAATAAAGAAATAAAAAAGGGAAAGTCTGGTAAGACAAAAAGAAAACAAACTGTAAGATGGTAGAGTTTAAAACAACCATACTAATAATTGAATTAAATGCACATGGCCTAAATATTCTAATGAAAAGGGAAAGATTGTCAGAATGCACAAAAAAATCTACAGGCCAACTTCATGCTCTCTACATAATGCCCTCTTTAAATATGAAGGCAAAGACAGGTAAAAAGTAAAAGAATGGGAAAATACATGTATACCGTGGAATGCTATGCAGCCATAAAAAAATGAGTTCATGTTGTTTGTGGGGACATGGATGAAGCTGGAAGCCATCCTTCACAGCAAACTAACACAGGAACAGAAAACCAAACACCACACGTTCTCACTCGTAAGTGGGAGTTCAACAATTAGAACACATGGACACAGGGAGGGGAACACCTCACACCAGGGTCTGTCAGGGCATGGGGAGCAAGGGGAGGGAGAGCATTAGGACACATACCGAATGTATGCATGGCTTAAAACCTAGATGATGGGTTGATAGATGCAGCAAACCACATGGCACATGTATAACTATGTAACAAACCTGCACATTCTGCACATGTATCCCAGAACTTAAAGTAAAAAAAAAAAAAACGAAAATAATGCCAACCATGGAAGTATTGGTGGCTGTGTTAATATCAGAAATATAAGACTCAGAAATATTACCAAGGAGAAAGAAGGATAGTTCATAATGATAAAAGGATCATTTTATTATCAACATATAACAATCCTAAATGTGTTTGTTCTTAGAAAATATGTCTTAAATCACATTATACCAAAAATGATAAAAATAAATCAGAAATAGACAAATTCACAATTATATTTTAGTATTCTAGCACTCAGTAAACAATAAAATATTTAGGAAAAAACTTCATGAGGACATGATAGATTTAAATAACATTATCAATGAACCAACGTGATCTAATCAAGATCTGTAGAATATTCCACCCAATAGTGGCAGAATACACATTATTTTCAAATGCTCAAGAATATTCCACAGGACAGACTATACACTGGGTCATAAACACATATAAATAAATGTCTAAATAAATAAATGTCTCTATTGAAATCATACAGAATACATTCTCGGACCACAATAGCATTAAATTAGAAACCAATAACAGAAAAATACCTTGAAAGTCCCAAATACCTAGAAATTAAAAAGTATACTGCTAAACAGCACCTGGATTTAAAAAGAGTCAGAAGGAAAATTAGAAAATATTTTGAACTGAGTGAATATGAAAGCACACTATCAAAATTAGTATGATACACTAATTAGAGAATAATTTATAACTTTACATAATTGGAAAGGAGGGAAACTCTAAAATCAACCATCTATGTTCCCATCTTAAGAAGCTAGAAAAAAAAAGTCAAATGAATCCCAAGATTAATAAGATCAGAAATAAATGCAATAAAATGGACAAACAATAAAGAAAATAAACAAAGTCAATTGCTGGTTTTCAATAAGGCTCAATACATTCATGAATCTCTAGGTAGATGGATCAAGAAAAAGAGATAAGACTCAAATCCCCAATATCAGAAATGGAAGTGGGTACGTCACAACAAATCATACAGACATTAAAAGTATTATGACAGAATGCTATGAAAATGCCAATAAACAAAAATGACAATAAATTTGACAATTTACATTGTTAAATTAAATTAAATTTGGTGTAAAGCTTTCTCCATATCTTAAATTCCTACATAGCAAACTAACCCAACTTAACATAACTGCGTTATGCAAACAAACTACAGCCTAACTTAAGAGTGTTGTAATAAATAGCTGAGTCTCAGCCAATCACAGGCTGCCAAGTGATCATATTATGTCCCCCATAAGGCAAATGCCTCATCACGCCATGCCCATATAAGGCAAACACTGAGCTGTAATAAATTGGCTGGTTTTGAGTATCACTTCCTGTTTTTATCTATAAACACTGCCTTCACATGTTGCTGGACAGAGCTTTCTGAATCTTTCTGGGTTCTGAGGGCTCCCCAATTCATGAATTGTTCTTTGCTAAATAAACTCTGTTAAATTCAACTTCTCTAAAATTTTTATTTTAACAACATGAAATAGAAACATTTCTTGAACGATTCAAATTACCAAAACTAAATCAAGAAGAAATCTCTGTCAATGGAAGAAATTAAGTTTGTAATTTTAAAAATCCTTCTCACAGAGAAGGCCAAATGGTTTCCAGGTCAGATGGCTTCATTGATTAATCCATAGTATTCTGTCATAATACTGTCATAATACTTTTAATGTCTGTATGATTAATTCTATTATACATTTAAGGAAGAAACAATACAAACTCAATACAAACTCTTTCAACAAAAGAGCAGAAGAAAACACATCCCAATAATTTACAAGTCCAATATACTAACATCAAACAATGACATTAAAAGAAAAGGAAACTAAAGACACACAAACATAGCCATGAAAATGTTTAACAAAATATTTTTTAAAATTGAATTCAATAATATATTAAAAAGGATGATATAACATGATCATAAAAGTTTATGCCAGGAATGGAAGGCATGTTTAACATGCAAAAAATCAATGTGATTCCACATCTTAACAGAATACAAAGAAAAATTATGTAATTATGTAAATGGATGCAGAAAAAGGCATTTGCTCATTCATGATAAAAAGTCCTAGAAAACTAGGAATAAAAAGGAATTACCTGATAAGGTGTGTCCATGAAAACCAACAACTGAAATTTTCAATTTTGGGTGGGGGAGGGGGGCGGGCATTTTACTTTCTCCATAAAACTATTAAATTATCTAATGTGAAAGTGGAATTCAGTGAAGAAATGTTCCCTACTGCAAAAATACAAAATGCTGGACATTCTGTGAACAGTTTCTATGCATTCTATATAAATGAAACTATTAACTATATAATACATTTATTGAAAAAAGAAGATGGCCTTCTTTTTTTTTCCTAATGGCTGTTGAATTTATTTGCTTGATCAATAATGGTCCTGGCAAAAATTGACCAATGCTGAGACATTTGTAATGAAATACTAATTTTAAAAGTCCATGACACCTTGATAGAAATTAGAGTTTACACAAACAAAAAAGGAACCTTCGATATTTCCAGCAGCTACAAGGTGAATGTACTGAGACCGACAGGACAGCAAGAAGGCATTTGCACATTTATATCTGACACCAGACCACACTTTCAGCCACCAGAATATCTTCTCTCCATATTTTAAAAAATAGTGTCTCTCCCTCTCCCTCTCCCCACGGTCTCCCTCTCCCTCTCCCTCTCCCTCTCCCCACGGTCTCCCTCTCCCTCTCTTTCCACAGTCTCCCTCTGATGCCGAGCCGAAGCTGGACGATACTGCTGCCATCACGGCTCACTGCAACCTCCCTGCCTGATTCTCCTGCCTCAGCTTGCCGAGTGCCTGCGATTGCAGGCGCGCGCCGCCACACCTGACTGGTTTTCGTATTTTTTTGGTGGAGATGGGGATTCGCTGTATTGGCTGGGCTGGTCTCCAGCTCCTAACCGAGAGTGATCCGCCAGCCTCGGCCTCCCGAGGTGCCGGGATTGCAGACAGAGTCTCGTTCACTCAGTGCTCAATGGTGCCCAGGCTGGAGTGCAGTGGCGTGATCTCGGCTCGCTACAACCTCCACCTCCCAGCAGCCTGCCTTGGCCTCCCAAAGTGCCGAGACTGCAGCCTCTGCCCGGCCGCCACCCCGTCTGGGAAGTGAAGAGCGTCTCCGCCTGGCCGCCCATCGTCTGGGATGTGAGGAGCCCCTCTGCCTGGCTGCCCAGTCTGGAAAGTGAGGAGCGTCTCTGCCCGGCCGCCATCCCATCTAGGAAGTGAGGAGCGCCTCTTCCCGGCCGCCATCACATCTGGGAAGTGAGGAGCGTCTCTGCCTGGCCGCCCATCGTCTGAGATGTGGGGAGCACCTCTGCCCTGCCGCCCCGTCCGGGATGTGAGGAGCGTCTCTGCCCGGCCGCCCCGTCTGAGAAGTGAGGAGACCCTCTGCCTGGCAACCGCCCCGTCTGAGAAGTGAGGAACCCCTCCGCCCAGCAGCCACCCTGTCTGGGAATTGAGGAGCGTCTCCGCCCGGCAGTCACCTCCTCCGGGAGGGAGGTGGGGGGGTCAGCCCCCCGCCCGGCCAGCCGCCCCGTCCGGCAGGTGAGGGGCGCCTCTGCCCGGCCGCCCCTACTGGGAAGTGAGGAGCCCCTCTGCCCGGCCAGCCGCCCCATCCGGGAGGGAGGTGGGGGAGTCAGTCCCCCGCCCGGCCAGCCGCCCCATCCGGGAGGGAGGTGGGGGGGTCAGCCCCCCGCCCGGCCAGCCACCCCATCCGGGAAGTGAGGGGCGCCTCTGCCCGGCCGCCCCTACTGGGAAGTGAAGAGCCCCTCTGCCCAGCCAGCCGCCCCGTCCGGGAGGGAGGTGGGGGGTCAGCCCCCTGCCCCGCCAGCCGCCCCGTCCGGGAGGGAGGTGGGGGGGTCAGCCCCCCGCCCGGCCAGCCACCCCATCCGGGAAGTGAGGGGCGCCTCTGCCCGGCCGCGCCTACTGGGAAGTGAGGAGCCCCTCTGCCCCGCCACCACCCCGTCTGGGAGGTGTACCCAACAGCTCATTGAGAACGGGCCGTGATGACAATGGCGGTTTTGTAGAATAGAAACGGGGGAAAGGTGGGGAAAAGATTGAGAAATCGGATGGTTGCCGTGTCTGTGTAGAAAGAGGTAGACATGGGAGACTTTTCATTTTGTTCTGTACTAAGAAAAATTCTTCTGCCTTGGGATCCTGTTGATCGGTGACCTTACCCCCAACCCTGTGCTCTCTGAAACATGTGCTGTATCCACTCAGGGTTGAATGGATTAAGGGTGGTGCAAGATGTGCTTTGTTAAACAGATGCTTGAAGGCAGCATGCTCCTTAAGAGTCATCACCACTCCCTAATCTCAAGTACCCAGGGACACAAACACTGCGGAAGGCCGCAGGGTCCTCTGCCTAGGAAAACCAGAGACCTTTGTTCACTTGTTTATCTGCTGACCTTCCCTCCACTATTGTCCTGTGACCCTGCCAAATCCCCCTCTGCGAGAAACACCCAAGAATGATCAATAAAATAATAATAATAAAAAAAAAATAGTATGCTGATTTCTACAACAAAGATTTTTTTCATACAAAAATCAAATCATGGCCAGAAGATATCCTTCTTAAACTGGATGCCAGATGAGCATGCTGAACACAAAGCATGGTTTGTAGAGAAGAGATGTTTCTAACAAAAAAATTAAGGACAGAGTTTGAGGTAATGACGGAACATCCAGACGGATGTGCCCAGTACATATACTGAGATGAAGCCAGAGACTATACACTAATGGGTTTTTCTGTGGCATCATGATTGATGCCATGAGGGTGACTGAGATCTGCAGGAGAATGAGTGTAGAGAGATGAGCAAAGGGCTGAAGATTATGCCTTAAGTATGTCTCCATTTAAAAATGGGAAATGGAGGAGCAGTGCACAAAGGAGTATGCATTATTTCCTGCCTCAGCGTTTTGGGGTAAATAGGGTAAGGAAGAGAGGGCTATGGGAAGAGAATGACCTGTCTCTCCATCTCACTTATAACTATCTGGTTGACCACCAACTGGATAAGACCAAATAGTTTGATATACCTGTCAAGGGACTTAATATAACATTAGCCTGCATTAATATCAGCAATATTTCTGTAATAAGGAAGGTGATAGATCTCCTATTCCCTTCTTGAACTTTACTTGAAGCTCTGTACACTCAGACATAGATTTTTAAGAAAAATCTGTACCACCTGGACAGAGGTATAAAGGAAAATGGAAAACAGGAGTAAAATAGTTCAAAGGGTTGTGATTTTGGAGCCATTAAAGAATCTGGTCAAGTTTGGTTTGGTGAAGTGAAAAAAGCAGAACCAGGATTGGTTTAAGAATCTCTGACTCCAAATAACTATACCTCAACTATGGAGGTCCTAGGAGGTCAGGCAGGGGTGTGTTGCTTTATTTATGAGAAAAGTGTACGCACGTATCTCTAAATATGTAAGGTACATGATGATTCCTTTTTTATTGTCTTGAGTAGGATGATCTGCTCCTAGCAGCGTGCAGATGGGGCTTATGTAAGCCCTAAGCACTCGTGTATGACAGAGGAAGAAAAGGTTCTTCCTTAGGATGAGAGAACTTCAAACAAGATTACTCCAGCCCATCCTCCCATTTGCTCTCTCTTTCTGTTTTCAGCTCACATAGAAAAGCCCTTTTTGGTATTTAAGCTCAATTGCTCTTATTGTGGGACAGTGGAGGCTGTGTATTACACCCATAAAAACTATTTGTCTCTATTTCCTCTCTGAAAAGGTAGCATTGCAACACTTCCCTCTCTGCTTTCCCTTCTCTCTCTTAGCCAGGGGCCCCATTGCTCAGGGTTAGAATACACAGTCAACTAAAAAAATCTGTCCCATAAAGGGACTGTTGAACACTCAACTGTCTGTTTGATGGTTGAAGCTAAGCTCTAAGAGTGAGAGTAAAATGCCGATGGAGAAGGTTTGGAGAAAGCTGTGATGACAAGAATTATCACTTCTGCTTAATGACTTTCCCTCCAGCCAATGAGATTTGAGTGTGAAGCATCCTCACTTGTGACCAGGTAATAAAGGTACTGAGATTGTCCTGAGTGAGTTGCAGAGAAGGGAGAGGTATGGCATGCTATCAAGAGAACAGTTCTTTTCATAGTGGGAAAATGTATCAGAGTGTCACGTGGACATAGAAGTGAGAGAACTGAGGGTTGAAGTGGGTTCTTGGGAAGGTTACATCTTCTGCTGTTGAGAAAATCTGAAGTGTATGCCAACTAGGGTTAGAATTGCTGCCTCACAGGAAGTAGCACTCTGTGCAGCCACCAATTAAAGCTGCCCTGCCTGGATCCTTTTAGTATTTTGGGATTGATAAATAGATATGAATAACAAATGGGCAAACCCAGGCAAGGTAAAACTAAGGAGAAAACATAGAAATAGTGCACAGAAACGAGTTAGAGAAGAATAAAACAGAATATAAGTACAAGTCTCCTTACCTGTTGGCACATGGGAATAGTTTTGGTGTATGCTAAAATAGTTTTTCCTTGGAGCTTCAGGTTGTAAATTGCTAAGGAAAACCTGCTTGGTGCTGGAGTCCGGAGTCTTTACTTTTCTTCTAGTTACAGCTCTCAGATGCCTGTTCAGGTTCTCAGAAGCATAGTACCCATTAGCTACTTTGTTAGATCCACTGTGAAATTTGGCTTCCATATCCGGTTTTACAATTCAATGTTGGATCAAAAAGACTGGTTGGCCTCCTAGAAGCCTTTCTAAATTCTACTGAGCTGGAAACGGTTAGAGAAAGAGCTGTCTACTCTCTGAGGAGCACTTCTGAGTTACTTCTACTTCACAGGTTCTAACACAAAAGGTGTTAACCCTAGAGGATTAGAACCTAATCAGTTATGGCAAACAGAAGTTACATCCCTGAATTTGGAAAACTAAGATATGTACATGTATCCATTGATACCAACACTCATCTAATAAGTGCACACGCTCTTCTGTTGACTGAAGTGTACAGATGTGTGCAGCAACACGTCTGTCAGGCAAGGCAGTCATCGCTTTTATTCCGGCTTTGCATCCTAGAATTAGCAAATAACATAAGACAATCATGAGAATAATTAGCAATATTCTTTTCCAGTCAAAGAGTGAACCCCAGGAGCGGGGGTCTAACCAGGAGTGATGATCTTGCACACCCTTCCATATGGCTGTTTGTTGGGTGTGTAGATCTATAGTGGGAAGGGATTCTAAAATTTTAGTTTGAAGTTGCTTTACATCTGCTATTAAATTGTCATGAATTGTTCCCCAGAGGTGTTGTTTCACTTCATCCCAACTATGTATTGATTGACTCTATGATAGAGAAGTGACACAGATATGTTTATGCGCCCAGTCGCAGTTTAATTGCTGTTAGAATGCCAGTGCATCTTGTTACTCCCCCATATATTCCAGGGCAGCCTCAAGGGCCTCAAGGGCTTGCAGACGTGCAAGAATCTTTTGCTCTATACCCTGCTGTAAGAGAAGTTCATTAGACACATTTCTGGCCAAATTATCTACAAAAGCACCTATTTGTACTGATTCAGTAATAGCTGCTACAGCCACACTAGCAGTTGCTAGGATGACTGTGGCTGAGACTATAAAGGCTGTAAGTGTGCCTATGTATCTTTTGGGTCTGGCCTAGGACAGGGCACATTCTTAGGTGGCAAGGGCAGAGGAACCTTGCCAATCGCATGTCAAATTGACTGGGTAGGAATGCCTCAGATTGTCTCCTTAATACCATGACACTAGTAATATTTAAATTAGATGTATTATAATTAGTGATACATGAGGCAAACCAAGCCTGTTCCTGCACCTGGGTCACAAATGCGGAGTTTTGGGGTGTAATGGAAGTATCAGTTTCCATAAGGAAAATATATGTATGGGTAGTATAAATTAGGCACTGATCAGTGTGATTATGAATAAAGGTTATAGTGTATTTGCCACTGGAATTATGATATGTCCCATGCCAGGTGAAAAGGAGGTGCTAAGATGTCCCAGGTACCGTAAAGTGTCTTGGGTAGCATGGACTTTACTTGGGGTATGGGATAACCCATCCCCCCCATTGGCCTAAATCATAGGGGAACGTGATGAGGCTACAAAACTGTGATTAACACCATGATAGATGAGGACATCAGTAAGGATGCCCTGAAAATGGCCGTGGGGGCTCCAGTCTAAGGTATTATAATGGCCTAGCTGGAGGCTACAAGCTTATTCCCCGTGACAGACCTCCCAGCTAAAGTGGAATCCATTACTTTCCCAGCTTTATTCTTTAGCACAGGAAGGAATGTTTGGGAAAGAATCATTGATTGCATTACCTGATTTGAAGCTACCTGCAGCTAAGACTTTAAAGGCATTTCTTTTGCCATGATGTAGCCATAATTGTGTTTGGGCAGGTACACAGTAAGGGTTATAATCTTTATAACTTACACACAGTGGGAGGATAGTGGAGTGATATGTAGTGTGTCTGGCACCTTAGTCCAGTGTATGCCATTATCGAGGGACCCCACTGGGGGTAAATCTATCCCTCCTAGCCAAGCAGTTATGTTATTAAAAGTTGGGAAGGGAGTGTCTGCCTAGGTGACAGGGTGAAAGAAAGGCGGATCTAAGATATGAGCCCAATAGAGTGTAGCAGGAACAGGTTGCAGACAAAGCACGAGCATAAAAAGGATCAATACCCTACATGAGTTGCAATGTACAACAGAAATCATAGCAAGGAGCAAATTATCTGGAGTGAATGGTGTCTGTGTCCAGAGCAGGGTTCATTCAGCCTCCTGAGTTGTCCTCTTCAGCATCCCCCAGTAATGTCTAGGGTTTGTGTCATCCACGGAAGCTGCATCATCCGGGACCGTGGGTCCTGCAGGGTTAGTTCCTTCATTTCTGGTACCGGGTTGAGTCCTAGCCATGTCATGGTATGGTTTGATGTGTCTTGCTGGAATCCAAAGAGGACTTGAGGGGGTGTGGACACAAGCATACCCTCTTCTCCAAGTTAACAATTCATTTGGACCACACCATACATTACTGCTTACATCTTTCCATAAAACTGCAGGTTTTATGTCTTGAGAGGTTTTAGCAAAAAGTGTTTCTCTATAGTTGATTGAAATTTGTCATCTACATTTTAAAAATTAAGGGTAAATAAGGCTTGTGCCAATAGTGTTGCAGGGTCTTTACCCATACTCCCCCTTTTCTGTTTTTTGAGCATATTTTTAAGGCTGGAGTGGGCACGTTCTACTATGGCCCGTCCTTGGGGGTTATACGGGATGCCTATGGAACGTTGGATATTCCACGTGTGACAAAATTGTTGAAATTGTGAGCTGGCATAAACTGGACCATTATCAGTTTTAATTTTTATGGGCCGCCCCATACATGCAAAAGTTGAAAGAAGATGTTTAATGACATATTGAGTGGACTCTCCAAGGAAGAGCGTGTGCACTAATTAGATGAGTGCTGGTATCAATGGATACATGTACATATCTTAGTTTTCCAATTTCAGGGATGTAACTTCTATTTGCCATAACTGATTAGGTTCTAATCCTCTAGGGTTAACACCTTTTGAAAGAGGGGACATGCCTGTTAGCTGGCAATTTGAGAATTGTGGGATAATTTGTTTAGCCAGTCTCTGGGTAAGTTGAAATTGCTTAGATAAGTTTCTCCAATTTTGGTGGAAAAATTGATGCGATTGGGTGGTTTGGTCAAGCAGTGATGTCATCACCTGAAGGTCTCCTTGATCACTGCCATAAGCCAGTGGGCCAGGCAGTGAGCTGTGGACTCGAATGTGTGTAATAAAAATAGGATGTGTACATTGATCTAGCAATTGCTGAAATCAGAGAAAAAGAGCACACAGGGCAGGCTCCAGAGTGGACTTAATTACGGCTGCTTCAAGATTTTGCAATAAATAAACAAAGTAGGCAGAATCACTAACTATATTGATGGCTGAGTAGAAAAAGTTTCCAAGGCCAATATCAGGGCCCCGATCTCACCTCTCTGAATGCTAGTAAACCCAGATTGAGTGAGTGAATTATGTGGTCTCCACCAGATTGCCGCCTTTCCATGTTTGCCTGAATCATCAGAAAACAATGTTAAAGCATTAGGTATGGAGGAGTGAACTATTTTTGTAGGCAAGATCACAGGAGTATGAGATAAGAAATGAAGGAATTTATCAGCAGGAAGAACATGCTCTATTTGTCCTGTGTAATCAGAGAGAGCTATTTGCAGATCTAACAATAGGGACAAAACTGCTTCTAATTGCTTTTTACTTAAAGGAATCCTGATGATTTCAGGATATCAGGATCATAGCCTAGCAACTGACTGCATTGTTTGAGGCCTGAATATACGACTTTACTAATTAACTGAATGTAGGGAAAGAGTGTTTTAGTCCTGGTATGTGAGCAAAAAAAAATCCATTCTAGAAAGCGCAGTCCTGGGGTCATCGGTCCTATTAATCCTGAAGGGGAGTGTTTGGTGGGGAAAATAAACAACTGGATGAAATAATGGGTGTCTATGTGATCTAGTTGCCTCTGAGAGATGGCTTGTTCTATTTCCTCAATTTCCCTTTTTGCTGCAGGGTTTAAATATCTGGGAGAATTCAGGGCTATATTGCCCTTTAAGATAGAAAACAGGTTTTGCAGCTTATAAGTAGGAATGCCTAAAGTGGGGCAGAGCCAGTTGATATCACCTAGTAATTTCTGATAATCATTTAAGGAATGTAAGTTGCTAGTATTTAATTTAACATTTTGAGGTCTTACTGACCAGGAAGTTAGCATGTACCCAAGATATATTTCCAAGGAGAGAAAGTTGTACTTTTTCAGGTGCAATGATTAAACCTCTTAGCTGTTTATTCTTTATGACAGAGGTATATAAATTTAAAAGTATTGGCTCTGTTGGGGTTGCTGGTAAAATATTCATAAAACGAATAATCTTGCAATTAGGAAATTCTTTTCTACTGGGAGCAAAGCTTGATTTACATGATACTGACACTTGGTAGGACTGTTTAGCATCCCTTGAGGAAGCACATTCCAATGAAATCAACAAGCTGGCCTTTCATTATTGATAGCTGGTATTGTAAATGCAAATTTTTCTCTGTCCTGTTCTGCTGGGGGAATCATATAAAAGCAGTCCTTTAAGTCAATAATGATTATAGGCCAATCTCGAGGAATCGCCACAGGGGATGGGAGGCCCTGTTGAAGGGGTCCCATAGGTTGCAAATTAGCATTAACAGCACATAGGTCATGCAAAATCTCCATTTCCCAGACTTTTTGGGAATGATGAAAATGGGCAAATTCCAAGGACAAATAGATGGTTCTACATGCCCAGCTTTTAATTGCTCTTCAACTAATTCACAGGCTTTTTGTAATTTCTCTCCCTTCAGAGGCCACTGTTCTACTCAAATTGGATCTTGAGAGAGCTACGACGGGGGTAGGGGAGGAATAATAACAGTGGCCATTGTTATAAAGGGGGCTGAGAGTCACCCCTCCCGCATTGGGCTAATAAATCCTGTCCCCAAAGATTAACAGGGATGCGCATGCTTACGGGTTGTATAACTGCCTTTCTTCCTTCTGAATTGCAACAGGTTAGGGAGTGCATGCTCTGCTTGGCTCTGTGTGCTTCCCTGATGCAGACCATTTTTTATTTCTGAGTGACCCAAGGCCAAATTTCTAGCCAGTTTTGATCACTAATGATTGAAACGTCCACCCCTGTGTCCAATAAGCCAGTAAAATTATTATTTCCAATTTTTAAGATAATCATGGGTCTCTGATCAGTGATTAATTGATTCCCATATACTCCTGTGGCTCCTGTGCTCCCAAAACTTCCTTTCCCCTTTCCTTTCCGTGGGCACTGGGGACCCAGTATGGCAAAATCAGTAACTGAGCTATCTTTGATCCAGGGGGAAGAATATTCAGACCTTTACATTCCATCATAACCAATATCTCACCTTGGTAATCACTACCAATTACCCCAGTGAGCACATTAATTCCTTTACTGGACAGGCTAGACCGCCCTAGGACTAATCCCACTGCTTCTGGAGGCAGCTGGCCCCAGATCCCGTATGCAGCCCTTTTAGGGTCTTCTCCTTCTTTCAGCACTGATTTGTTGGGGCAGAGTAAGTCCAGTCCTGCACTCCCAGTGGTGGCTGCTCTGAGAGAGAGGACTGTGAGCTCTCCATCAGACCGAGGAAAGCTGGTGGGATTGCCCCAGTTTGAAGCAGGGCCTAGGGCCAGCCCGTCATGAAGTTTCCCACCTGGTTACTTATGGGGTTTCTGTTTTTATCAAATTTTGACCTGCATTGATTTGCCCAATGTTTCACCATTTTACATCCGGGGCATATAGAAGGGGGTTCTTTCCCTGAGTTACCTTCGTCTCTATTATGGGGGCATTCCCTCTTCATATGATCTGGCTCTCCACATAGAAAACAACTTTGGCTTCTCTCCCTTTTCACTTTAGGAGGCCTTAATGCCATAACCAATATTTTGGCTTGTGTGTCTCAGTTCCCACCAGCTGACATGCTCATATAAGTTCCCCGACTGTGGCTGCCTTTCCTCTGATTGCCTGCATTGCCTGCTGGTGATCCACATGAGAGTTTTCAAAAGCCAATTGCAACAATAAGATATCAGCAGCCTGGGTGTGACTAATTTGTCTCTTAATTGCCTGGGTTAACCAATTGAAAAACTCAACAAATGGCTCCTGAGGCCCTTGTTGAACATTTATAAAAGATCCCTGCTAAACTCCACTTTCAGGAATTCAGTCCCAAGCCCTGAGAGCACACAAAGACACTTGATTTTAGGCCTGGGGAATCAAAATCTAGTCGTTGTACATAGGCATGGGATCCTTCCCCTGGAGCATAGCAGCTGTTAGGTCTTGCCCCGTCGCCTGATTCTGGTTAGCTTATTGTTCACACAGCTCATCATATTCTGCCTTCCAGAGGAGGTATTGGCTAGGCTCCAAAGTTGTTTTGGTTAGCATTGCCCAGTCCCATGGGGTCATAGAAAAGTGGTCTGCCAAGGCCTCAATCATTCCTTTCATAAATGGGCTAGCAGCTCTGTTTTCTTTAATGCTTTTTCTTAGCTCCTTATAAGCATTAAAAGAAATGGGTTCATGTACCTGATTGCCTTGTCGGTCTTGCATTACCAGGCAGGCTAAGAGCTCCCCTTCCAATGCCACTTGCTTAAGACAAGGTCCCATAGCTGGAGCATGTCTCCTGTCTTTTTTCCTATCTATTGGAGGAGGGGGCTCAGGCAAAACCTCCATTTCCTCTTTGTTATTTTGGCCTGGTGATATCAGGGCTGAGGAACTTGCGGGTGGTAAAATACATGATGGTGCCTTGTCCTTCCCCTTTTTAGGCTCTTCTGTGTATAATGGGACCAAAGCCGCCCTTACTAAGGCCCATAGCATTAAAGATGATACTGGGACCCGTTACCCTTGAACATGATGTTGCTTAAGATTTTTTCCCACTCGTTCCCAGAGCTCTAGGTCTAGCATGCCTTCTTGGGGGAACCATGGGTTATGGGATACAACAGTTTGCATTAGGTTCCTTAATTAAACCTGTGAAACTGAGGCTCTGCTAGCTTTAAGCAGCCATTTCAATACTTTTATATACTGTTTCTGTTGAGCTGATAACTGTTGTCCCATGATGAAACCTTAGCCTGAACAATCCCCCGCCCCGAACTTGGAAATCCCAAGCAAGTACCAATGACTTACTGATTACTCACTGACTGCGCAGTTCCTTTTTCACCTTCATTTTCAGGGGGTTCATCAATCTCCCTTTGCAGCATTCCTCACGCGGGGCACCAGCTGTGGTAGTCTGACCTACAGACCCTGACCCAGTAATGGATGAGAGGTGTACACTGACACAGATATCTTGCTTGTCAGTTCAGCTGAGGGTCCAGGCCACACACAGACACCAAGGAAGGTGCTGTAAAGAGTTGCATCTATGGCCCTGATCAACCAGCAAAGCTCGCATTTGTTCACACCACTAGAGGGCAATTGACCTGTTTGCCGACCCCCCCAAGTAGAGAGCAATTATGCATCTGCAGTTGATCAAATGTTGGTCTTACGACCACATGAGTAAACAAGCTATTTAGATAAATGTTCCTTTGTATCTGTGCCCCAAGCAATTAACTCAAGGTAAGGATTACGCTGCTTTCAGCCATAACCCTATCTTGAGACTTTTGCAAATACCTTCCGGCCTTCCAAGAAGGTTTGTGTCTATATCCTATAATTTTACAATTTCTCCCACCATCCTGACTGAACCCCCACACTAGACTAACCAAGAAAAGAAAAGAGAATACCCAAGTAAACCATATCATAAATGAAAAAGAAGCTATTACAACAGATCCCACATAAATACAAAAGATAATCAGAAACCATTATGAACAAATATATGGTAACAAACTGGAGAAACAAGAGGAAATGGATAAATTTCTGGAAACATACAACTTACCAAGATTGAATCAGGAAGAAAGAAAATCTGGACAGACTAATACTGAGTACTGAAATGGAATCAGTAATAAAAAATCTCCCAAAAAAGAAAAATCCAAGAGCATATAGTTTCACTGATGAATTCCACCAAACTTTCAGAGAACCACCACCGATTTTCCTCCAACTGGTCCAAAAAGTTGAAGAAGAGGGAATTCTCCCAAACTCATTCTGTGAGGCTAGCATTACCCTAATGGCAAACCCAGACAAGGATGCTCCAAGAAAGAAAACTACAGGTGAATATCCTGATACATACAGATGGAAAAATACTTACCAAAATAGGAGCAAACCGAATCCAACAGTAGATCAAAACAATAATATAATGTGATCAAGTAGGATTTACAGCAAGGATGCAAGGATATTTCAACATACACAAATCAATGAATGTGATACATCACATCAACATGATGAAGGCCAAAATCCATATGACTATCTCAATAAATGCAGAAGAAGCATTTGATAAAATTCAACACCTTTTCGTAATAAAAACTCTCAACAAACTAGGCATAAAAGGATCATGCCTTAATATAATAAAGGCTCTATGTGACAAAACCCACAGCTAACATCATACAGAATGGTGAAAAGTTGAAAGCTTTTTCTTTAGGAACTGGGAAAAGACAAGTATACACATGTTCACCCCTCCTACTCAACATAGTACTATTCTATCTATCCAAGGGGGGCTGCACATCAGCCCTGTCTCCTATCTGCCATCTTCCTGGCAAGAGCTCATAAAGCAAGTTCCAAAATAATCTTATATTTAGAAAAACCAAACACTCCACCAGAACACTCTTAGAACTGATAAGCCAATTCAGTAGACTTGGCAGGATACAAAATTAATATGCAGAAATAAGTAGCATTTCTATTCACCAACAATGAAATAGCTGAAAAAGAAATGAAGAAGAGAATTCCATTTATGATAGCTACAAAAAATATGATAAAATACTTGGAATAAATTTTACCAAAGAGATGAAAGATCCCTACAAGGCAAACTACAAAACACTGATGAAAGAAATTGAAGTGGACACAAACAAATGGAAAGAAATTCCATGCTAATGGATCAGAAGAATTAATATCATTAAAATGACCATATGGCCCAAAGCAATCTACAGATTTAATGTGATCCCTATCAAGATACCAATGTCACTTTCCACAAAAATATAAAAAACAATCCTAAAATTTGTATAGAACCATAAAAGATCCTGAATAGGCAAAGCCATCCTGAGCAAAAAGAACAAAGCTGGAAGTATCACAATACCTGAGTTCAAAACATTTTACAAGGCTGTAGTAACCAAAAGAGTAGAGTACTGGTATAAAAAACAGACACATAGACCAATAGAATACAACAGAATAGGGGACAGAATCATGGTGGATGGGAGGCATTATACATTGCCCCTCCAACTTGGATGGACAGAGCAGCTTGTGGAGTCTTGCATCATGAACTTTTGCTCCAGACCTATTGCAGGAATGACTGGGAAAGCTGAGAGAACCCACAGACCCTCTGAAGGGAGCAGATTGCTCCTGCAGGACCTGGGAGACATCCCAAATACTGTGAGTGCCCAAACTGTGGAGGTGGGAAAGGGGGATCTTCCACCCTTGAATGCATACCTCACTGGGGAACCTGAAGGTGTAGATCATGGGAGAAGATTCTGACCTGAACTGGAGCTGAGTCCATTTAGAAGCTGAGGGAAACACAGGGGTAGAGGAAGCAGCGGAAGGGACTTGTTTTGGGCACTAACATTTGGCTCTTTGTTACTTATGCAAATTTCTGCAGCTGGCTTGAATTTCTCCTCAGAAAATGGGATTTTATTTTCTATCGCATTGTCAGGCTGCAAATTTTTCAAACTTTTATGCTGTTTCCCTTTTAAAACTGAATGCTTTTAACAGCACTCCAGTCACCTCTTGAATGCTTTGCTGCTTAGAAATTTCTTCTGCCAGATACCCTAAATCATCTCTCTCAAGTTCAAAGTCCCACAAATCTCTAGGGCAGGGGCAAAATGCCACCAGTGTCTTTGCTAAAACATAACAAGAGTCACCTTTGCTTCAGTTCCCAACAAGTTCCTCATCTCCATCTGAAACCATCTCAGCCTGGATTTCATTGTCCATATCATTATTCAACAAGTCTCTAGAAAGTTCCACATTTTCCCACATTTTCCTGTCTTCTTCTGAGCCCTCCAAACTCTTGCAACCTCTGCCTGTTACCTAGTTCCAAAGTCACTTCCACATTTTTGGGTATCTTTTCTGTGGTGCCCCACTCTACCGGTACCAATTTACTGTATTATTCTGTTTTCACACTGCCGATAAAGACATAACTGAGACTGGGCAATTTACAAAAGATAAAGGTTTAATTGGACTTACAGTTCCACATGGCTGGGGAAGCCTGACAATCATGGTGGAAGGCAAGGAGGAGCAAGTCTCATCTTCCTTGGATGGTGGCAGGCAAAGAGAGAGCTTGTGAGGGCAACTCCGTTTTCAGAACTATCAGATCAACTGAGACCCATTCACTGTCACAAGAACAGCACTGGAAAGACCCACCCCCATAATTCAGTAATCTCCCACAGGGTGCCTCCCACAACACGTGGGAATTATGGGAGCTACAAGGTGAGGTTTGGGTGGGGACACAGATCCAAACCATATCACTGTAGAACAAATGGACTTAACAGATATTTACAGAACATTCTACTCAACAACAGCAGAATATACATTATTTTCATCAGCATGTGGAACATCCTCCAAGACAGACGTTATGGTAGGCCACAAAACAAGTCTCAATAAGTTTAAGAAAATCAAAATTATATGATGTACCCTCTCAGACTACAGTGGAATAAAACTGGAAATTGAATCCAAAATGAATTCTCAGAACTATACAAATACATGGAAATTAAATAATCTGCTCCCGAATGATCTTTAGGTCAACAATGAAATCAAGATGGAAATTTTAAAAATCTTTGAACTGAACCATAATAGTGACACAATTTATCAGAAACTCTAGGAAGGCCGGGCACGGTGGCTCACACCTGTAATCCTGGCACTTTGGGAGGCCGAGGTGGGTGGATTACCTGAGGTCGGGAGTTCGAGACCAGCCTGGCCAACATGATGAAACCCCATCTCTACTAAAAATACAAAAATCAGCCGGGTGTGGTGGTGTGTGCCTATAATCCCAGCTACTCGGGAGGCTGAGGCAGGAGAATTGCTTGAACCCAGGAGGTGGTGGTTGCAGTGAGCCAAGATTGTGCCACTGTACTCCAGCCTGGGCAACAAGAGCGAAACTCTCAAAAAAACAAAACAAAACAAAAACAAAAACTCTGGGAGACAGCAAAAGTGGTGCTAAGAGGAAAGTTCATAGCATTAAATGCCTACATCAAAAAGTCAATCTAGACATCAAAAAGTCAACATAGACAATCTAAGGTCACCCTTCAAGGAACCAGAGAAACAAGAACAAACCAAACCCAAACCCATCAGAATAAAATAAATAGCAAAGAAATAAATGAAATTGAAATAAATTTCAGAGCAGAAATAAATGAAATTGAAACCAAGAATACAAAAGATAAATGAAATGAAAAGCTGGTTCTTTGAACAAATAAACAAAATTGACAGACCATTAGCAAGATTAACCAAGAAAAGAAGAGAGAAGATCCAAATAAGCTCAATTAGAAATGAGACAGGAGATATTGCAACCGATACCACAGAAATACAAAAGATCATTGAAGGCTACTATGAACACCTTTATGCAGACAAACTAGAAAGTCTAGAGGAGATGGGCAAATTCTTGGAAATATACAACCCTCCTAGATTAAATCAGGAAGAAATAGAAACTCTGAACAGGCCAATAGCAAGTAGTGAGATTAAAATAATAATTTAAAAACTGCCCAAAAGAAAAAGTCCAGGACCAGATGTATTCACAGCTGAATTCTATCAGACAGTCAAAGAAGAATTGGTATCAATCTTACTGAAACTATTCAAAAAGATAGAGAAAGAGAGAATTTTCCCTAATTCATTCTATGAAGCCAGTATCACCCTAACACTAAAACTGGGAATAGGCAGAAAAAAAGGAAAACCACATACCAATATCCCTGATGAACATAGGTGCAAAAATCCTCAACAAAACACTAGCTAACTGAATCCAACAGCATGTCAAAAAGATAATACGCCATGATCAAGTGGGTTTCATACCAGGGATGCAGGGATGGTTTAACATATGCAAGTCAATAAATGTGATACATCACATAAACACAGTTAAATACAAAAATCACATCATCAACTCAAAAGACACAGAAAAAACATTTGACAAAATTTACCATCGCTTTATAATTAAAACCCTGAGCAAAATTGGCATAGAAGGGACATACATCAACTTAATGAAAGCCATCTATGACAAACCCACAGAAAGAATTATACTGAACAGGGAGAAGTTGAAAGCATTCCCCTTGAGAACTGGAAGGAGACAAGAATGCTGACTTTCACCCCTTCTCAAAAGAAGACATTTATGCAGCCAAAAAACACATGAAAAAATGGTCACCATCACTGGCCATCAGAGAAATGCAAATCAAAACCACAATGAGATACCATCTCACACCAGTTAGAATGGCGATCATTAAAAAGTCAGGAAACAACAGGTGCTGGAGAGGATGTGGAGAAATAGGAACACTTTTACACTGTTGGTGGGACTGTAAACTAGTTCAACCATTGTGGAAGTCAGTGTGGCAATTCCTCAGGGATCTAGAACTAGAAATACCATTTGACCCAGCCATCCCATTACTGGGTATATACCCAAAGGACTATAAATCATGCTGCTATAAAGACACATGCACACGTATATTTATTGCGGCACTATTCACAATAGCAAAGACTTGGAACCAATCCAAATGTCCAACAATGATAGACTGGATTAAGAAAATGTGGCACATATACACCATGGAATACTATGCAGCCATAAAAAATGATGAGTTCATGTCCTTTGTAGGGACATGGATGAAATTGGAAATCATCATTCTCAGTAAACTATCGCAAGGACAAAAAACCAAACACCGCATGTTCTCACTCATAGGTGGGAATTGGACAATGAGAACACATGGACACAGGAAGGGGAACATCACACTCTGGGGACTGTTGTGGGGTGGGGGGAGGGGGGAGGGTTAGCATTAGGAGATATACCTAATGCTAAATGACAAGTTAATGGGTACAGCACACCAGCATGGCACATGTATACATATGTAACTAACCTGCACATTGTGCACATGTACCCTAAAACTTAAAGTATAATAATAATAAAAATAAAAAAAGAAAAAGAAAAGGGAAGTTACAAATTAAAAAAAAAAAAGACAAAACATAGGATTGGAAGTCCTAGCCAGAATAATCAGACAAGAGAAAGAAATAAAGGACATACAAATAGGTAAAGAGAAAGTCAAACCATCACTGTTCACTAATGATATGATCATATACTTCAAAAACCCTAAAGACTCATCCAAAAAGCTCCTAGATCCGAAAAATGAATTCAGCAAATTTTCAGGTTACAAAATAAATGTATACAAATAAGTAGCACTACTATACACCAATGACCAAGCTGAGAATCAAATCAAGAACTCAATCCCTTTTACAATAGTTTCCCGAAAATAAATTTAAAAAATGCTTGGAATATACTTAACCAAGGAGGCTAAAAATCTCTACCAGGAATACTACAAAACACTGCTGAAAGAAATCATAGATGACACAAACAAATGGAAACACATCCCATGCTCATGGATGGGTAGAATCAATATTGTGAAAAGGACTATACTGCAAAAGGCAGTCACAAATTCAATGCAATTCCCATCAAAATACCACCATCATTCTTCACAGAACTAGAAAAAACAATTCTAAATTTCATATGGAACCAAAAAAGAGCCCACATAGCCAAAGCAAGACTAACCAAAAAGAACAGATCTGGAGGCATCACATTACCTGATTTCAAAATATAATATAAGGCCATAGTCACCAAGACAGCATGGTACTGGTATAAATGTAGGCACATAGACCAATAAAACAGAATAGAGAACCCAGAAATAAACCCAAATACTTACAGCCAACTGATCTTTGACAAAGCAAACAAAAACATAAAGTGGTAAAAAAACACCCTATTTAACAAATTGAGCTGGGATAATTGGCAAGCCACATGTAGGAGAATAAAACTGGATCCATGTCTCTCACTCTACACAAAAATCAACTCAAGGTAGATCAGGGACATAAATCTAAGACCTGAAACTATAAGAATTTTAGAAGATAACATCGGAAAAACCCTTCTAGACATTGGCTTAGGCAAGGATTTAATGACCAAGAACCCAAAAGTAAATGCAATAAGAACAAAGATAAATAGCTGAGACCTTAATTAAACTAAAGAGCTTTTGCACGGCAAAAGGAACAGTCAGCAGAGTAAACAGATAACCCACAGAGTGGGAGAAAATCTTCACAATCTATACATATGACAAAGGACTAATATCCAGAATCTACAATGAACCCAAACAAATTAGTAAGTAAAAAACAAACAATCCCATAAAATATGAGTTAAGGGCATGAATAGACAATTCTCAAAAAAAGACATACAAATGGCCAACAAACATAAGAAAAATTGCTCAGCATCACTAATAATCAGGAAAATGCAAATCAAAACCACAATGCAATACCATTTCACTCCTGAAAGAATGGCCTTAATCAAAAAATCAAAAAATAATAGATGTTGGCAAGGATGTGGTGAACAGAGAACAATTTTCCACTGCTGGTGGGAATGTAAACTGGTACAACCACTATGGAAAACAGTGTGGAGTTTCCTTAAAGAGTCCTAAAAGTAGAACTACCATTTGATCCAGCAATCCCACTACTGGGTATCTACCCAGAGGAAAAGAAGTCATTATACAAAAAAGATACTTGCATACACATATTTATAGCAGCACGATTCACAATTGCAAAAATGTGGAAGTAACCCAATGAGTGGATAAAGAAACTTTGATATATATATATATATATATATATATGATGGAATATATATATATATATATATGATGGAATATATATATATATGATGGAATATATATATATATATGATGGAATATATATATATGATGGAATATATATATATATGATGGAATATATATATATGATGGAATATATATATATGATGGAATATATATATATGATGGAATATATATATATATGATGGAATATATATATATATATGATGGAATATATATATATGATGGAATACTACTCAGCCATAAAAAGGAATGATTTAATGGCATTTGCAGTGACCTGTTTGAGATTGGAGACTATTATTCTAAGTGCAGTAACTCAGGAAGGGAAAACCAGGCATCGTATGTTCTCACTCATAAGTGGGAACTAAGCTATGAGGATGCAAAGGCATAAGCATGGCACAATGGACTTTGGGGACTCTGCAGGAAAGGGTGGGAAGGGGGTGACGGATAAAAGATTACAAATTGGTTGCAGTGTATACTGCTTGGGTGATGGGTGCACCAAAGTCTCAAAAATCTTCACTAAAGAACTCACTCATGTAACCAAACACCACCTGTTTCCCAATAACCTATAGAAATAAATTTTTTTAAAAAAAGAATAGAACAGAATAGAAAACCCAGAAATAAATCCACATATTTATAGCTGACTTACATTCAATGAAGCTATGAAGAATATTCATTGGGGATATGACATCCTTTTCTATAAATGGTGCTGGGAACACTGGATAACCATATGCAGAAGAATGAAACTGGACCCCTACTTCTCACCATATACAAAAATCAACTCAAGATAGATTAAAGACTTAAATGTAATACCTGAAACTATAAATCTGCTAGAAGAAAACATAGAAAAAGTTCTTCAGGAAATAGGTCTAGGCAAAGATTTTATGACTAAGATCTCAAAAGCACCAGTAACAAAACCAAAAATGGACAAATGGAACTATATTAAACTAAAAAGCTTCTGCACAGCAAAAGAAACAATCTACAGGGTGAAGAGAAAACCTCTTAAATGGGAGAAAATATATGCAAGCTACTCATCCAACAGGGGATGAATATCCAGAATATACAAGGAAATCAAACATCTTCATAGTAAAAAAATAAATAATCCTGGCCAGGTGTGGTGGCTAATGCCTGTAATGTCAGCACTTTGGGGGCCTACAGCAGGAGGATCTCTTGAGTCCAGGAGTTCAAGATCAGCCCAGGAAGCATAGCTAGACTTCAGTCTCTTACTAAAATTAAAAAGAACCAAATAGCCTGGTATGGTGACATGAGCCTGTAGTCCCAGCTGAAGGACTGAGGCAAAAGGATAGCTTGAACCCAGGAATTTGATGCTGCAGTGAACTATGGGACCACTGCACACTAACCTGGGCAAGATCTAGTCTCAAAAATAAATAATTAAATTAATTAATTAATTAATTAATAACCCCATTTTTAAAATGAGCAAAGAACATGAACAGACATTTCCCAAAAGAAGACAGGCATTTGTTCTCTTCATTGAGAAAAGAAAAATGAGAGAGAGCAAGAGAAAGAAAAGAAGACATATAAATGGTCAACAGGTACATGAAAGAATGCTCAACATTACTAATCATCAGGGAAATGCAAATCAAAACCACAATGAAGTCAGGCCACAGTGGCTCATGACTGTAATGCCGACACTTTCAGAGGCCAAGGTGGGAGGATCGCTTGAGCCAGGAGTTTGAGACCAGCCTAAGCAAAGTAGTGAGATCCCATCACTACAAAAGCAAAACAAACAACCACAATGAGATATCATTTTACCCCAGTTGGGATGGCTACTATGAAAAAGACAAAACAAACAAACAAACAAAACAAAAAAACCACAGGTGTTGGCAAGGATATGGAGAAAAGGGAACTCTTATTCACCATTGCTTGGAATGTAAGTAAGTACAGCCACTATGGAAAATAATATGGAGATTTCTCAAAAAACTAAAAATAGAACTACTACACAATCAAGCAATCTCACTAATTAGTATTTATCCAAATGGAAAAGAAAGTAATGTATCAAAGGGATACACACATTCTTTATTGCAGCACTATTCACAAGAGCCAAGATATGGAATCAACCTAAGGGTCCATGAATGGATGAATGGATAAAGAAAATGTAGTATATATAGACAATGAAAGTATTCAGCCATTTAAAAAGATGAAATCATGTCATTTGCAGTAACATGGATGGAAGTGGACGTCATAATGTTAAGTGAAATAAGCCAGGCACAAAAAAACAAATATCACATGTTCTCACTCGTATGTGGGAGTTTAAAAAGTTGATCACATCAGGGTAGAGAGTAGAATGATAGATACCAGAGACTAGGAAGTGGACGGAGATACAGAGATGTTGGTTAATGGTTATGAACCTATACTAATATAAAGAATAAATTCCAGTGTTTGATAGCAGAGTAGGGTGACTATAGTTAACAACAATGTGTAGTATTTTTCAAAAAAACTAGAAGAGAGGACTTGAAATGTACTCAATGCATAAAAATGATAAATTGTGGGTGATAGATACCCTAAACACCCTGACTTCATCATTACATTGCATGCATGTAACAAAATATCACATATAACCCATGAATATGTTCAAATATAATGTATCAAAAAATTTTAGAACTAAAAACAAAAACCAAAGCCCCCAACCCAAACATGTAGTTTAGTTTTTATTTTACAGAAACAAAGCATAATGACATTTTCACTTATACATTCCAAATCTTCAGAACTTACATTATTACGTAAATGAATACATCAAAATATTAAGATACATATTTTTCATTTCTAAATTACAACCAGTTGGTAAATAGGCAAAAAAAAGATGAATAAATAGAGTGACAAGAAAAAGAAGATAGGAGAGAGCCAAATCCAGAGAAAAAGGAAAGAAAATAAGAGCAAGTATAGGAATGAAATTGTCCTTATACAGAGGCTGACTTACCTTTAATCTAAAAAGACTTAATATTCGGGACCCCTTCTTGCAGGAGCCTTTTAACATCATATATTTTTGTACAATCTGCAAAAAGTAAGATAATTTAACAGCAAATTGTTAAGACTGTTGTATTTCTTCATTCTGACTTCTCATCCATCATACATTTTGCCCCTTGTTAGGCGGCAATAGAGTGACCATAGATATTTCAGAGATTCAAATAAGGGAAAGTTAAGTTGGGGATACACAAGGTAGAAAATGTATTTATGGCTTTACATTCACTCCATGCATAGTTAAATTATTACACGGGCTTAATCAGGGACATAGATAGGTTTAAACTAAGGATGACTGATTCTTATACTAATGATCTTAGAACTCTCAATATTGTGTTTTATGTGCTTACTAATCACTATAGGCCTTGATTCTTCAATGTAAAGCCATAATAAGATATTGTTACTTGCCAACATTTGATATTGTTTACCTCCTCTCTACCCAGCGAGAGGCAGAGAAGTAGTAAATAAAAGGCATCAACTCATTATTCTAGTCATTTACTCTCTGTCACGCTATTGTACACTACACTTTAGCCATACTGGACGCCTTACTTTTACCAGACCATGTACTTGATGTACTTGGCTATTCTCTCTCCCCAGCCTCAAATGAATCTGCCCAAGCACATCTATACAGGTTATTATTAATTTCTTGCTGGTATTACTTGAAATACTGACATTGATGAAGATAATCCCTCATTTCTAATTTACTATGACAACAATGACATCAATGATAAACTGGTTAATGAGTGTCATTAATTCTAGGAGTATCTAAGATTAATGATTACCGTATAGTAACTGAAGAGGAATAAAATTATTTTTCTTCTAGTCCCAGACATAATGTATGTTTGATCCATTGTATTCTCCCAACAAGGAGTGACTATGGTTTGCTGGTCAAAGTGGTAGATTATGGTAGTCATAACACATCATTCGGTTATCTCCCAGATCCATACTATATTAATGCAATATATACACTTGGCTACTGGAAGATGTCCAATATCAACTTCCACTTCTGAAATAAGAGATTATGAAGGAAGAGACTAGTAGAAAGACCTGAGTTTCCAATTCTATCCCCAGTTGTCAATAAAAAACAATACCGTAGATTGCCTTCCTCTTTTTGGCTATGATGGAATAGCTTGTACAATATTAATGTTCCTTCCAATAATAATGAGTAAAGCCAGATAAAACACAAAAAATAGGCCAGGCACAGTGGCTCATACCTGTAATCCCAGCACTTCAGGAGGCCAAGGCAGGAGGATCACTTGAGCCTAGGAGTCTTAAGACCAGCTTGGGCAACATAGCAAGACCCAGACTCTATAAAAATAAAAAATCAACTGGGCATGGTGGCCCATGCCTATAGTCCTAGCTACTTGGGAATCTGAGGCAGGAGGATTGCTTGAATACTGGAGCTCAGGAAGCTGAGTCTGCAGTGAGCTATGATCACACCACCGCACTCCAGCCTGGGTGACAGAGCAAGACCCCCTCTCAAAGGAAAAAAAACTACAAAAAATATACGCTTGAGGGAATCATAAAACTCTCAAGGTGATGACAGCTTGAGAAGACAAGATCATGAAAAGAAGATAACAAGAGAGGAGCCAACATTCTCCAGTTGCTTTACTCCTAAAGATTATCTTATTTTTAGGGCAGAGCAACAGACTGATAATTCTAGCAAACAACTTATGGCCATGGAGAGACAAAGAATGGTATCTGGGGCTGCCAAATTTAAGGGATCAGGATGTCAGTGAAACAGTAGACAATGACAGCCAGAAAAAGCTTAAACTCTGCTTCAAGTCAGATCCATTCCAGATTAAAATAAGGATCATTTTCTACTCTATATGCCTAACAGAGGATAGGGCTAATTCCTTCTGGAAGAAAAGTGCATCACTGAGAAAAATAATGAATAACTTAATTATTGGATTAGAGATAAACTTTATAATAGCTATAATGAATATGTAAAAAGATAATAGAAATCATAATGAAAAATTTTATTAAAGAAATAGAATGTATAGAAAAGAATTAATAGAAATTCTAGAACTAAAAAATGATGATATAAATTTTTAAAAACTCCTATAGATGGGTCAATATTGGCAAAAATAACAAAGTAAGAACCTCCAAAAACTCTCCTCTCCATAAAAGCAACAAGAAAAGTGACAAAAATTGAAAAAAAAATCAACTCTTTCAGAACTCTGGAAATTAACCAAAGTCTTGCAGCAATCCAGAGAACATTTACTAAAGAAAAATGGTGCAATCTCAATAAGAACAGTTTTGTGACATTTTAACTTGTACAATTCCCATTCTGTCCTCTCGGGTTCTGCAGTAGACTTGAGAACCAACAAGCTGTAATCATGGTGAAAATCAGCAGCCTGGAGGGAGCAGAACAGAGCTGGGGCTTTTCCAAAACCTTGTGATCAGAGAATTGTCATTATTTTACCTGTCTGGTGGTTTCCTGGAATACCCAATTTGCAAAGTAGTTCTCATTTGACCTGATTGGGAACTTGCCCGGTGCAAAAATCCTTTTCCATGAAAATATTTATTGGAAACAATTAAAGGCAACCGAATTGCCTGAGGCAGTGGATAACAGTTGAGGAAAACAAGAGATTAAATAAAAAGCTTAAAGGGAAAATCTGGGAAATGAGATGTCCAAGGGGCTTTGATTATTTCCATCATATTCCTGGAAATCTAGAAGGCCATGTACATATGTAGGATGGGGTGCATACTTAGGAAAGACCTGAGAAGATTGTAAGCTTTCTTCTTGGACTGGCCTTGGTGCTCTGTACAAGGAGGAAATAAAGGGTAAAGTGGAGTTGTCAACTGTCTGGCTGAGTGTTGAAGGTATCACCAACATGCACACAGAACCTGCTGTGGTTTGAATATGGCTTGTCCTCATCAAAACTTATTTTGAGGCTTGGTTCCCAATCTGGTGGTGTTGGGAGATGGTGCCTTTAAGAGGTGCTTAGGTCATTAAGTTGGATTGGTGTCTTTCTTGAAAGACTGGGTTAGTTATGAAGTTCCCTTGAGAGTGGGTTGTTATAAAGTGAGTTTGCCTCTCTTGTTTTGTCCTGTTCACATATACCTCGTTCTCCTTTTGTTTCTCTGCCATGTTTTGACACAGCACAAGGACCTCAGCAGAAGCCACCAAATCAGCTGTCTAATATTGAACTTTCCAGCCTGCAGAACCATGAGTAAAATAAACCTCTTTTCTTTATAAATTACTTCATCTCAGGTATTCTCTTATAGGAACACAAAACAAAGAAAAAGCTCCCCAGGAAAGACTAGGAGATATGTTTATTCCAGGCATTTTAGGAAACCTTTGTTCAAACATTAGGTGACCACTAAGCTAACTGAGAAAAAATGTAATAGCTACACATAACAAAGAATCAGACTTTGCAAGATTTGTTCAGAAAAGTCACAAAATAAAACAACAACAAACAATGAAAGCAAACCCTAGAAGGGAAAGCGAGGGAAGAATCTCATTATCTGGGTTGCCACATTATATTACACAAAATATCTAGTTTTCAACAAAAATTACAAGACATGCAAAGAAATAATAAAGCATGGCCTGTACATAGGGGGGAAATTAATAAATAAAAAATGTCTCTAAGGAAGCCCAGCATTTAGACTTACTAGACAAAGACATTAAATAAGCATTTAAAATATATTCAAAGAATGGAAGGAAATCATGTTTACTAAAGGCAAGCATATGAATGATGTCTCACCACCCAATAGAGACTACAGCAACAGGAATTATATAAGAAAAGAACCAAATAGAAATTCTGGAGTTGAAAAATACAATAACAGAAATGAAAATTTCACCAGACTGGCTTGACAGCAGATTTGAGCAAGGCAGAAGAAATAATCAACAAAGTTAAATGTAGGTTAATTTTGATTATCCAGTTTGAGGAAGAAGAAGAAAAATGGGAAAAGAAAAATGAACAGATCCTCAGAGACCTGTAGAACACCATCAAGCAGACCAAAATATGTATAACTGTAGTCCTAAAATGAAAAAAAGGGTGCCAGAAAAAATATTTGAAGAAATAATGGCTGAAAACTTTGCAAATTTGATAAAAAATGTTAATCTACATATCTGAGAATCTTAATGAACTATAAGTAGAATAAACTCAAAGAGATCCACACCTACACACATTGTAATCAATCTGTTGAAAGTTGAAGACAAAGATATCTTGAAACCATTAAGAGAGAAATGACTTATCACATTCAAGCAAGAAGATTGACAGATGATCTTTCATTAGAAGCCATGGAGGGTCAGGTGCGGTGACTCATGCCTTTAATCCTAGCACTTTGGGAGGCTGAGGTGGGAGGATTGCTTGAGTGTAGGAGTTCAACACTCCATCCCTATTTAAAAGAAAAAAGTAAAAACATAAAAAAGAGAGACAGAGGAAGATAAAAAGAAAGAGAGAGAGAGAGAAAGAAAGAAAGGAAGAGAAAGAAAGAGAACCATGGAGGCTAGAATGCAATTGAAAGACTTATTCAAAGTGCTGAGGGGAAAAGCTGTCAGCCAAAAACTCTAAATGAAGGAGAAATTAAGACATTTTCAGGTAAAAAGAAACAGAGATTTCATCATTAGCAAGACAGCTGTACTAAAATACTTTCAGGCTGAAGTGAAAGGACACTAGAATATAGTGTAATATAGTCAAATCCATGTAAGGAAATAAAGACACCAAAAAGGTAACTGAAATAGGTGAATATAAAAGACAATATAAATGTACTTTTTAATGACTTTTTCTCCTATTTAATTTAAAACTTCAGCAAACAATATTTATAAATCTGTGTTGATAGGCACACATGTAAGAATGGTATAATTTGTATGACAATAACAGCACGGGGGTAGGGAACAGAGCTGTATAGAAATAAAGTGTTTGTATACTATTGAAATTAAGTTGGTATTAATACAAACTAGATTATTAATATGCTAATTTTAATCTGTAGGGTAGTCACTAAGACAAAAAAGTAGAGGAACTAAAAATGTAGAGTAAAAGAAATGATAAGTGAATTAAAATGATACATAGAAAATGTCTATTTAACACAACAAAAAGCAGTAATAGAGGAATAGAGGAACAAAAAAGATATAAGAAAAATAGAAAATAAACAATGAAATGGCAGACATAAAAATATGTTACAGTAATCACACTAAATATAAATACATTACATTTCAATTTAGACAGGTTAGCAGAATGGATAAAATAAAAATGATGCAACTATATATTCTCTGCTGGAGACAAACCTTAGATACAAAGTTACAAAGAGGTTGAAAGTACAAGGCAGGAAAAGATACACCATGTAAAGAGCAACCAAAAGAAAGCTGGAGTGGCTACACTAATGCCAGACAAAATAGACCTTAATACAAACATACCACTAGAGAAAAGTAAGGACATTTTAATGATAAAAGAGAAAGTTATAGCTGTAAATACCTACATTAAAAAAGAAGAAAAATTGCAAATCAGTAACAACCTTCCACTTTAAGAAATTAGAAAAGAGGCCGGGTGCGGTGGCTCACTCTGTAATCCCAGCACTCTGGGAGGCCAAGGAGGGTGGATTGCTTGAAGTCAGGAGTTTGAGATCAGCCTGGCCAACATGATGTAACCCCATCTCTACTAAACATACAAAAATTAGCCTGGCGTGGTGGCAGGCACCTATAACCCCAGCCACTCGGGAGGCTGAGACAGGAGAATCGTTTGAACCCGGGATGGGGAGGTTGCAGTGTGTGGAGATCAGGCCCCTGCACTCTAGCCTGGGTGACAGAGCAAGACTCCATCTCAAAAAAATAACCCTGTCTCAAACAAACAAATAAACAAACAAAAAAAGAAAAGAAAAGAAAAGAAATTAGAAATGAGTAAGACAAACCAGAACTAGTGAAAGGAATGTTAGAATGGGAATAAATGAACTAGGAAATAGAAAAAGATAGAGAAAATCAACAAAACTAAGTTTTTGCTTTTAAAGAATCAAAACTGAGGAAACTTTAGCTAGATTGAGTAAGAAAAAAAAGAAAGGAATTGAATTACTCAAATCAGGAATAAAAGATGAGACCTTTCTACCACTTTACAGAAATGAAAAACAATATAAGGGAATACTGTGTACAATTGCGTGCCAACAATTAGATAATCTAGATAAAATGGACACATTTTGTGCTGGGCAGGGTGGCACACATCTGTAGTACCAGCTACTAGGGAAGTTGAGGCAGGAGGATTGCCTGAACCCAGGAGTATGGGGTTATCGTGCACTGTAGCCTGGGCAACATAGCAACCTGTCAAAAAAAAAAAAGACAAATTTCTCGAAAAACATAACTACTAAAACAATGAAAAAGAATACAATATTTCAAAGTATTTTATCTTTTATAATGTTCTTTGACAAAAATAGAACAGAGCTAGAGATCAATTACAGAAAGATAACCAAAAAATTTTGAAGAGTTTAGAAATTAAGAAATACAAATTAAAATAATCCATAGATCAAAGAAGATAATCAGAGATTAAATCTAATTATTATCAGATCCCTGACAATAAAAAATTGAAAATATCAGTTGGGTGTGGTGGCTCATGCCTGTAATCCCAGTACTTTGGGAGGCTAAGGCAAGAGGATTGCTTGAGCCTAGGAAGTTCAAAACCAGCCTGGACCACATGATGAGATCCTATCTCTACGAAAAATAAAATATAAGTTAGCTGGTGTGGTGCTGCATGCCTGAGGTCCTAGCTTCTTAGGAGGCTGAGGTGGGAGGATCACTTGAGCCCAGGAGTCCAAGGCTGCAGTGAGATATGACAGCACCACTGCACTCCAGCCAGGGCAACAGAGTGAGACCCTGTCTTGAAAGAAAAGAAAAGGAAAGGAAAGAAAAAGAAAAGAAGGAAGGAAGAAAGAAAATTGAAAATATTGCAAATTATACTTGCATTACAAAATATTATAACATAAGATGAAGCTGAAGTCAGGTCTAGACAAAAATTATATGCAACCTTAAGTGCATATAATTAATTGGAAAGAAAGAAATACTGAAAATCAATCATATACTTAGAAAAAGAATGTCAAATTTAACCCAAGAAAAGTAAAAGTAAGGGAATTATATACATAAAAGAAGAAAATAATTTGATAGGAAATAATAATACAGTAGAAAAACATCAACAACACTAAAGGCTTGTTTCTTTGAAAAGACTAATAGGATTGATAAAATTTTAGCAAGACTGTGGAAGATTTTAAAACAAGACAGAAGGCATGAAATTCCAATATCAGGAATGAAAAAGGTACTGTCATTATGGGTCCTGTAGACATTAAAATTACAATAGAAAATATTATAAATAACTTTATGCTGACAAATTTGAAAAGCTAGATGAAATAGACATATTCTAGAAAACACCACTTACTAAAATGAACTCAAGAAATAATAGAAAAATTTTCATAATCCTGTATCTATTAAAGAAATTGAGTTGGTAATTACAAAACTTTCCACAAAGAAATCTGTAGGCAAAGATGATCTTATTGGGTGAATTCTTCTAAATATTCAGTGAAGGCATTTGCTAACCTTACACAAGCGATTCCAAAAGACGGGGGAATAAAGGAACATTTCTCAACTCATGCAGCAATATGCCAAATCCTCATAAGCATGAAGCAAAAACAAAAACAAAAAAGCAAAAGTAAGGCTCATCTCATTTTTAAACACAGATACAAAACTCCTAAAAGATCTATTAGTCAATTAAATATAACACTAGGTAAAATAATGACCAAGTTGAGTTTATTCTATGAACATAGGGTAAGTTTAATATATGAAAATCAAGCAATGAAAATAGTAACTTATGGTTGAAAAATCTGTCAGTTACCACTAAAATCAAGTAGTCAAAATTAGCATCACAGGGTAAGTTTAATATACGAAAATCAAGCAATGAAAATAGTAACTTTATGGTTGAAAAAATCTGTCAGTTACCACTAAAATCAAGTAGTCAAAATTAGCATCACTGATAACAGAACAAATCAACATCATGTGTCTCCTGATTCAATGCACGGAGATACAATATCAACTATGAAGAACTCCTGCCTTTGTCATATCCTCTATGAGCTGTTTAGTTCCTTTCCAATAAATGCCTTTTCTGCTTAATTATTCAAGTTTGCATTCTATTGTTTAAAATCAAGAACCTGCATTAGTACAGTAGTAATAGTTATTGAGCACTAATGCTCACAGCAGTGTTTCAACATAGATATTATTTATCCTTATTCTAAGATGAGACAATAGGTAGTTATAGTTAAGAATATGACCCCAAATCACATACACAATAATAGGTGAAGGAAAGAATAAATTTCAAGTTTACCTGTCTCCAAATTTCATTCTTTTAGACTCTCTAACCCTTCTCCCTTGACCATGCTTGGCATTTTTGACTAAGTGATTTTAGCCAGGAACCTGGTTTACCCAAATACACAGAATCATCAATCTGTCTCCCTCCATACCCTTCCTTGGGATTTAAGGATGTCAGAAGTTAAGGAGAGAAGATAAACATGTGCTTTTACTGTGATGCTCTCTGGGGAAAAGTTATGTGGGGTCCAGATAAAAATCATTGCCTCTCAGAGAACAAAGACATGCTATTCCCAGGGGGCTGCTCATGAGATCTTTTTATAAGGCTCCAAACAGTAAGACTAGATGTAGGGCTAGCTCCCGAGTGATGGAAAAGAATCGGGACAACTCCCTCCTGGGGGTATCTCTCTCTCTCTGTCTCTCTCTCGACTCCAAACAGCATCACAAGAGAACCTCAAGTTTTGTATTATTTATTCCAGGAACCCCAAAGGGAAGGTGAAAGAAACTTGGGGAGAAAAAAAATCTCCCTTGAATGCATGAAAAAACAGGTGTTGGGGTGATGTTGATGTTGAGATAGCCAAGTGCAGGCACCTGACTGCCACCTGGGGATGGGAGCAGGAGGGAGTGCTGGAGACCGTGGATTCAGAGGTTACTAGTGTAGACGTGCAGGGAGCCACAGGCCTGGATGAGTTCTCCAGAGCAGCAGGTGTAGAGTGATAAGAAGAGGGCTGACGACTAACATCAGGTGTGTAGTTTTAGGAGTGAAGAAGAAGAGTATTCAACAGAGGGGACAGGTTTTCATTCCTGCTTTGGCACCTGGAGCAATAGGAAGTGTTTGATTGCCTGTGCTACTTGAACATTCTCCTTCCCCGACAGCTTCCACGGCCTCTTTGTAGACTGTCTCCTTGCTCACCTTCACCTCAGATTGTCCCCTGGATTTGAGGCCCCAGCCATCATGACATGTTCAGGCTTCTGAACAGGGCTGTGAGGAGGGGGATGGAGGGAAAATATCAGGGGAAAGGATTTATCTGAATGCATGTAGAGACTTCAAAGAAGCTCTTTTCCTGGGAAATTCTGGTAACATTTCTCTCTATCCAATAAAAAGTGGGTGAAAGGCAGTGTCACTAGTTTCTGGCAGACTAAGCCCCTGAGAAGGTCCTGCTGCACGGATGTGTGTAACTGAAGCTGTGTGGAGGGAGCTTGTGATCTATACAGAAGTAGCAAGGGCAAGAGGAACAAGAGAGGTTCAAAGGCACCAAGTGCAGAGGCAGTGGGTGGGGAGACCCAGGCATGGAAGCCAGTGTTTCACTGTGAATACTTGGAAAGTCCCTGGCTGGCTCCAAACAGTAGAATATGGCTGGATTCTAGAGTCTGTTGTCAGAATAATGAGAATTAATACGGAAGCTCATTTTCAGACTTATCATTAGTTATGAGATGATGGAGGGTTAAGGAAACCACAGTAAGAGGAAGAGATTCTAAGGCTAGCTTCTTAGGACCCCACCCCATCCCTAAATTTTCAGATGGGAGAGAGAGGAGTGTTATGCATCTCTGTATCATTCTTTTTTGGAGCTGAGAGAGACAGAAAGGAGAGGGGAGGGGAGGGAAGGGGAGGAAGAGATGAAGAGGGAGAGGGGAGGGGAGGGAAGGGGAGGAAGAGATGAAGAGGGAGAGATGGAGAGGGAGAGATGGAGAAGGAGAGAGGGGGAGGGAGGGAGGGGAGGGAGAGGAGGAGAGAGAGAAGAGAAAGGGAGAGAGAGTGGGGAGAGAGGGAGAATAAGTATAAATCATCAATTAATCTGTGGATGTCTGATTGTCCACCTTCTGGATTATTTCAGACACTGAAATTTGTGAATAATGATAAGCAGGGCCTGGATCAGGAGAGCACTTCAAAAGATAAGGACTTGTACATAGGATGTTAAAGCCTGCTAAACAGGTCCTCACAGGCCCACCTTTTACTGCTTCCTCTTGAAATAAGCCTCTTCTGCCCTTCCCACCCTGTCATTACCACTGTCCCCAATACCACAAAGTGGAGGATTGTGGAAATCCCTTAAGAAAAAGAAAAGAAGCTCATTGTCTACATCAGAAATTCTCTGTAACTCCCATCCTCCCACTTCCTCATGCTGCCTGACTGCCTTCCTTATCACTCTACAACAGTTGGATTGTATCAACGTTTGGCCTTTCTTAAACCTCCTACTCTGGTGTCCAAAGGACAGATTTCTGTCCCAGAGCAGATATGAATGTTACAAGGGGAGTGTTTGATAGACAAAGGACCCCATGTTACTTCTGCAGTTGAAACTAGCCTCTGTATAAGGAATTAAAAGACTATGAGAAGAAAGTAATGATGGAGACATTATTCTCCCTATTGTCATGGATCAATGGCATCATCTGGGGATTAGGCCAATGGCTGCTTTGAAGGAATATTTTATAAAGTAGACATTATCAGTGATGAATTTGAGTGTGAGTTGAAATGGAAGTATAGTAAAGTGGTAAGACTCCTTGATGAATCAATGTTTGGTGTAAGGAAAGAGGAAGAGAGAGGCAAGATAATATGAAAATCTGATGGCTGATAGAGGTGGAGAGCCAACATCACAGCTCAGGGATGAGTATGATGTATCACTGAATTCTCCCTGTTGGCCTGTGACAGCATTTGTGGTTGGAGAAATGAGAAGTGAAAGAAAAACTCACGCCTAGAGGTACCACATTTGTCAAAAATAATAGAAGAGAAAACCATGCCAGACAGTCTTAGAGAAGATAAAAAGTTATCACATGATTTCAGGGCATTAGGAAGTCCCTGCTTTTTCAGCCACTCCCATCTTATAGTTGTGTCTTAAATTTATCCATTAGAGCTGGGCGTGGTGGCTCACGCCTGTAATCCCAGCACTTTGGGAGGCCAAGGCAGGCGGATCACGAGGTCAGGAGATCGAGACCACGGTGAAACCCCGTCTCTACTAAAAATACAAAAAATTAGCCGGGCGCGGTGGCGGGCGCCTATAGTCCCAGCTACTCGAGAGGCTGAGGCAGGAAAATGGCGTGAACCCAGGAGGCGGAGCTTGCAGTGTGCCGAGATCGGGCCACTGCACTCCAGCCTGGGCGACAGAGCGAGACTCTGTCTCAAAAAAAAAAAAAAAAAAAAAAAAAAAAAATATATATATATATATATATATATATATATATAATCCATTAGAAAGTTGCTCTGGGCGAATGGAATTTGTTCATTGTTATAACTTCTTAAAACACAATATCCCTTGTCTAGATTCAAGACATATATATTTGAGTCCCATGCAAATACGGGACACTATGGGTACAGTAAATGAACGACCATATGGAAGAGTTACAGGAGCTAAGATGAAACATGAATCATTAAAAACTGAGGATAACTGAAGGACGTAAGTCCTACAGGGGGGTCTTTACTCTGAATCCTGCCACTAAGTGCTCAATAAAATCGAGTTAAGTAAGTGAGTAAATGAATGAATGATAAATGAATGAATAAGTATGGATTTTGTTTTCAAAGATAGAAAGGATTCACAAAAGCAGAGATTATGAGGTATGAAAAAGGTTTTTTTCTAAGAATAGACCCTCAAACACTCTTAGATTCTTGCTGTTTTCTGAGTACCCCAATGTCAACTGTCTATTCCAGAAGTAAACCCTCAAGTATATGGTCAAATGATCTTCCACCAGGGTGCCAAGAGTATACAATGGGGAAAGGTCAATCTCTTCGACAAATTGCGTTGGGAAAACTGGATATCCACATGGAAAATAATGAAGTTGGATTCTTACCTGACACCATATGCAAATACAAAAATTAACTCAAAATGGATAAAAGACCTAAATGTAAGAGCTAAAAGTATCAAACTCCTAGAAGTTCTATCAAACATAGAAGAAAACTTTATGACATTAAATTTTGCAACAATTTATTGGATATGACCAAAAACAGGCAACAAAAAATACACAAATCCAACTTCATCAAACTTAAACATTTCTGCACATCAATGAAAACAATCAACAGAGTGAAAAACAATATGAAATAAGATATTTGCAAATTATCTTTTCAGTAAGAAGTTAATATCCAGAATATATAAGGAGCTTCTACAACTCAACAGCAGCAACAATGACAAATAGCCTATAAACATCCTCAGCAAAATACTAGCAAAATGAATGCAACAGCACATTAAAAGGGTCTTTTATCATGATCATGTGGGTTTTATTCCAAGGATGCAAGATGTTTCAACATACTCAAATCTAAAAATGTGACATACCACTTTAACAGAATGAAGAATACTAACCATATTAATATCTCAATAGACTCTGAAAAAGCATTTGACAAAATTCAACATCCTTTCGTGATTTAAAAAAAAACTCTCAACAAATAAGGAATGCACCTCAACACAATGAAGGTCATATATGACAAACTCATAGCTAATATCATTCTCAATGGTGAAAAGTTGAAATTTTTTTCCTCTAAGACCAGGAACAAGACAAGGAGGTCCACTCTAACCATTTCTATTCAACATAGTACTGAAGTTCTAGCCAGCAATTAGGCAAGAGTAAGAAATAAAAATCATCCAAATTGGAAAGGAAAAATGTAAATTGTCACTGTTTGTAGATGACATGATTATATAAATAGAAAACCATAATAACTCCACTTAAAAACTATGAAGTAATAAAGAAATCTAGTTGCAACAGAATACAGATTGTACTGAAAAAAAAATAAAGGAATCTTGTAAAGTTGCAGGATACAAAAATCAACATACAAAAATCAGTAGCATCACACTAACAAAGAACTATCTGAAAATGAAACCAATAAAACAATCTCATTTACAATAGCTAAAAATAAGTAAATAAGTAAAATAATACATTTAACAAAGGAGGTGAAAGACCTATACGCTTAAAACTATAAAACACTGATGAAGGAAATTGAAGAAGTCACAAACAAATGGAAAGATATCCTGTGTTTATAGATTATAAGAATCAATATTGTTAAAATGTCTGTACTACCCAAAGTGATCTGCAGATTTGATGCAATCCCTATCAAAATTTCCTTACATTTTTCACAGAAACAGAAAAAAAAATCCTTAAATTCATATGGAACCACAAAAGACCTTGAATAGCCAAAGCAATTGTGAGCAAAAAGAACAAAACTGGAGGCATCATACTATCTGATTTCAAAATATACTAATATACTACAAAGCCATAGTAATCAAAACAACATGGTACTGACATAAAAACAGATGCATTGACAAAATAGCCCAGAAACAAATCCACACATTCATGGTCAATTGATTTTCAACAAAGGTGCCAAGAACCAACAATGGGTAAAGCATAGTCTCTTCAATAAATGGTATTGGGACAACTGAATATCCACATGTAGAAGAATGAAACTAGACTGTCATCTCACACCATATGCAAAAATCAACTCAGAATAAAGGCTTACACATAAGACCTGAAACTGTAAAACTACTAGAAGAAAACATAGAAGAAAAGCTCCATGACATTAGTTTGGGCAATAATTTTTTGATATAATCCCAAAAGCACAGGCAACAAAAGCAAAAATAGACAAATGGGATTATATCAAACTAAAAACCTTGTTTTTCTTACAGCCAAAGAAACAATCAATAGAGTGAAGAGACAACATATGGAATGGGACAAAACATTTGCAAACCATATGCTTGATAAGGGGTATAGGAATCCAAACAACTCAATAGCAAGAAAACAGCCTGATTTTAAAATGAGCAAAGGATTTGAAAAGACATTTCTCAAAAGTTGACATACAAATGGCCAACAGGCATATGAAAAAAATGCTCGACATAGCTAATCAGAGAAATGAAAATTAAAACCACAGTGAGATACCATCTCACAACTGTTAGAATGACTATTGCCAAAGGCAGGTAACAAGTGCTGGCAAGGGTGTGGAGAAAAGGGAACCCTTGTACACTGTTGGTGGGAATGTAAATTATATAGTCATTATGGAAAACAGTATGGAGGCTCCTTAAAAAATTAAAAATAGAACTACCATGTGATCCAGCAATCTCATTTCTGAGCATACACCCAAAGGAAATGAAATCAGCACTTCATAGAGATACTTATGCTCCATGTTCATTGCAACATTGTTCACAATAGCTAAGATATGGAAACAACCTAAGTGTGTATCAACAGATAAATGGATAATGAAAATGTGGTATATACACACAATGGCATACTATTGAGCCTTAAAAAAGAGTAAGATCCTGTCACTCACAACAAAAATGGATGAACTTGAAGAACATTATGTTAAGTGGATATGCCACAGAAAGACAAATACCACATAATCTCATTTATATGTGAATCCAAAAAAGTTGAACTAATAAAAATAGTGAATAGAATGGTGGTTATTAGGAGCTGAAAATGCTGCTGGTTGGAAAGATGTTTGTCCCAGGTTACAAAATTTCAGCCAAATAGGAGGAATACGTTCAAGAGGCCTAGTGTACAATGTGGTGAATATAATTAATAACAATGCATTGTATTCTTGCAAATTGCTAAGAGAGTAGGTTTTAAGTGTTCTCACCATAGAAGTATATAATGCATATATTAATTAGGTCAATTTAACCATTCCACAATGCATACATATTTTAAACATCACGTTGTACATGATAGGTATATATGATTTTTCTTTGTCAATTAAAAAAGCAAATAACCTGGTTTAAAAATGGGCAAAGGACTTGAACAGATAATTCTTCAAATAATATATACAAATAGCCAACAAGTGTATGAAAATATGTGTAACACCATTAATTATTCGAGAAACATGAATCAAAACCACAATGAGATAGATATCTCACAGCCATTAAGGTGGCCACTACAAAACCAACCCAACAAAAAAAATAACAAGTGTTAGCGAGGATGTCAAGAACTGGAATCCTGGTGCACTGTTGGTAGGAATGTAAATGGTGCAGCCACCATGGAAAACAGTATGAGATTTCCTAAAAAGTTTACAAATAAAATTATCACATGATTCAGCAATTCCATGTCTAGATACATACCCAAAGGAAACAAAATCAGCATTTAATAAAGATATTTCTGCTTTCATGTACATTGCAGCATTATTTACAATAGACAATGGGTGTAAACAACCGAAAAGTTTATTGACAGATAAATGAATAAAGAAAATGTGGTGTGTGTATATATATATATGTATATGCAGTGGAATATTATTCAGCCTTAAAAAAAGAAGAAATCCTCTTACATGGTACAACATGGATGAACATTATGGTAAGTGGAATAAGCCAGTCACAAAAAGATAAATACTGTATGATTACACTTATAAGAGATATCTAAAGTCAAAATAATAGAAACAGAGTGGGGGTTTCCAGGAGCTGGGAAGAGCGGGAAATAGGGAGTTGTTCCCTGAGGATAAAGTTTCATTTTGCATATAAAAAAGTTCTAGAGTTGTCACACAACAATGTGAATATTATTTACCCAACTGAGCTATACACATAAAAGGGTTAAGAGGATAAATCAGATATGGATGAGACTCAAGGTATGATTCATTGTGAGGCAAATTGCTCTCCAGCTGTGAAATCGAATATGCTATTTGCTTCCAAAATATAATGATGGGACAGGCATAGGATAGAAATTCTTATTCCAAAAGGAAGAAATGGGAGAGAAGAAAAGTGTACCAGGTCCTGAGCAAGTCAAGTTTCCAGAATAATCTTTTTGAATCAAGGTTCTGCCCTCCAGGCACACTGGGGAGGTGGCCTCTGCCTCATGGCTTTGTGCAGCCCTGCCCTCATAGTTGCTCCCTTTGGTGGCCCTACCTCTGAGGCAGCTGGGTGCCCGAGGCTCTCCCAGGCTGAAATTGTATACCAGTGGTTCAATTGGTCTAGGGCCTCAGGGGTGGCCTTACCCTACTGCTTCACTGGGCATTGCGCAGTGCAATCTCTCCATGGTGGCCCTGCACATGGTGGCTTTCTGCCTACGCACTGTGGCTTTCCAGAGCATCCTTTGAAATCTAGGTGGAGGTTACCATGCCCGCACAGCTTTTCAGAGCACAGCACTCACTAAACCAGGATCTGTTGGAGCCATACCTGGGGTAGCCTAGGAGCCCTGTGATGGAATGTGGAGAGCAGAGCCTCAAGGTGGCCCATGATAGTGAGTGCTGAAGCCCCACAAGTACCTGCAGCCCCTCCTTTGAAATCATTCTGTCCCTCATGCCCTTGTATTCCGCACCTCGGATAGGAGTGGCAGCCCTGATCTGAAATGTCTTTGGGTCATTCTTTCATTGCCTTGATGAATAGCACCCAGATTCCACTGAGATGGTTGATCCATACTAATTTCCTCATCCGATGGTTACATAGACACACCACTGGTGTTCTGTCCTGAACATGATTTCTTAGTTTTCACAATATGGATAGGCTAAGAATTTTCTTAATCTTTAAGTTCTGCTTCCTTTTGAATTAAAATTCTATCTGGTGCCATCCCCTGATCTCAGCGGCAGGGGCTGACAAACTTGAATCCAGAGGGTGAACTAGAGGAGGTGGGGGGCATCTTCCCTCCTGCCCTGGTGAGGAGTTGCAGCAAGCTCCCCGCGCCTCTCCTCCCTGATCCACCGGCCACCGCAGCCCATGTGATCCAGGGAAGTTGGGGTGCCCCCTCACCCCGCACCTGGGTGGCCTGGACGCGGGGTCCCCTCAGCCCCTCAGGGTTCCAGCGCCACTTGTGTAGGTCCATCTGCAGTGGGCCACGTGTGCACATCGGGCAGGGGGACCACACCAGCATCTAGTTTTCAGTGGAAACTTATTGAGTAAGGAAGAGCTAAAGGTAAGTGAGAAAGGGTGATTAGTTAGCCAGGGCCACCATAACAAGATACCACAGGCTGGGTGGCTTAAACTTAAACTTATTTTCTCAGAGTCTGGAAGTCCAAGATCAAGTTGCCAGCAAGGTAGGTTCCATTCTGAGGCCTCTCTCGCTGGCCTGGAGATGACTGCCTTCTCACTGTGTCCTCACAGGGCCTCTGTGCATTTGCTCTCCTGGTGTCTCTTCCTCTTCTTATAAGGACACCAGTCCTTATAAGGGGCCTTAGGGCCCCACCTGGATAACCTCGTTTCACCTTAATTACCTATTTAAAGGCCCTGTCTCCAAAGCATTCACATTAGGTGTTAAGGTTTCAACATAGGAATTTCGAGTTGTGGGGAGGGATAAAATTCAGTCCTTAACAGAGGTATAGCTCCTGGAATAATTAAACTTGCAAACAATAGCAATGGCACTTTAGGGCAGGAGCATGACCCTAAGCCATGGTTTCTCAACCTGGCACCATTGCCATTTAGGGCTGAATAATTCTTTGTGCTGGGGGCTGTCCTACGCATTCCAAGATGTTTAGCAACATCCAACATCCCTGGGCTACACCCACCAGATATCAATAGTGCTCCCCTCTCCTAGTGTGAGAACAAAAATGTTTACAGACATTGGCAAATATCCCCTGTGAGGCAAAATCACTCCTGGTGGATATTGCTGTAAGCATAGGGTTTCTCTCTTTCATCAGGGACAAAGTGTAGAAGGACAGATTTCCTCCACAGAAGCTTCATAAGTTTAAATAGGCCATAAATATCCTTGAGCTCTCTTAGCAGTCCTTCAAGTTTCTGTCACCCTTGTGTGTGTGTGAGTAGATTATATATATATATGTACATGTTTTGAGAATTTACACATTTCACTTTTGGGACTAACAGGTTCCCATAGGTTTGTTAGCCTTGGTATGAGAGAGTCTGCTTTTCTACTTATGTTAAACTTACCATCTTCAAAGTTTAAAAGACTCTCCCTGTTGTGTATTTCAGGATTTGGTGAACAAGATTAATGTAGTCTGACTTTTTCCAAGATTATAGACTTGCACCATATATGCTGTCTACAGTGGACATCTTTTATTCCTCTCATAGTGACCACCCCATTCCCTAAATTGTTTCCGTTGTTTCTAAAGTTTTGTCATCTCCCTATGTCTTCTCCAAAACTCAGGACCAGTGGTGGAAGGCACTGTAGGAGCAGTGGGCACACTCCCAGGGGCTGAGCCTGGATGGATAGGGTCAGGAAGGAGGATGGACTTGGAAGGTCACACCAGAGGCACCAGATGATGTGACAGATGAAAAGGCACATTAAAAAGTAATACGTACGTTACAAATGCAACTCCTTTTGTGATAATTATTGTATCGAATTGGGCATTTCTGAGCTTACCCTGTTGTTCTCCAAAGCAGTTGGCTAAGGCTGTTCTTATTTTTTCTTTAACCTTCCTGCCACCCTCAGATCGAATTTATTTGCTACACTAGTGCCAGGTTAATAATCCTAGAACACAACCATGATCATCTCACTTCCTCCTCAAAAACCATCACTGTCTCTCCACTGCCTGCAAAGTCCCACATCCTGAGCCTGGCATTGCAGTTGTCTACAGTCTTTCCTCAGCCTGACCTCCCTCTGTGTCCTTACAAACACGCTGTGCTCCAGACAGACTGGACTTTGACATGACATATAAAAAATGTTTTCACATTTTCCCCTTTACACCTTTCAAACCATTTATGGTGCTAGTATGATTCCCTCCTCAATCCCAGAGCTCTCTATTTTGAGGCAGAAAACAAGAGGCCCAGAATCAATTAGCATCAGTTTCCTGCCTTCACTTTCCTATGGCACTAAGTCAAGTCAGATTGGCAAAGCCTTTATAGCTGGTCCCAGCCTGACTCTCTGCCCAAACCTACTTACTAAATCCTCTGGAAATGAGGGCAGTCCCACTCCGGGTTGGCCTCATGAAGACATCTCAGTCCCATCAAACCTCCCCTTGGCTTTGAGACTAATCCACGCTGGCCGTGTATACAGTTTTTCTCTAGAATCCGTGTGTGTTTATCCCCTGAAGTTCTATCATGTCCTTGGATTATCACCACACCATTGATGCTGCTTCTGTCTCAAAGGACACTTTGGACTCTGCCTGTCCTTGCCATCGCCTGTCTGGGCAGTAGTCTGCTTAACTCTAAGCCCCAAAGTCCTCCCTTCCCTCCTTGACTAAGTTTCTCAGATTTGTACAGTTTGGTGGCAACAATGCTTCCTACTCAGTTGCTAAGACAGGAGTGACCCTTTGGTGTGGTCTCTGAGATTCTCTAGGGACCTCACAGCCTGGATGGCCTCCTGGGAGCTTGCCTGGCCTTACACTGAGCTGCAAACCATGAGAGGAAAGCTATTTAGCCCCTCCAATTAAAGAGATTGCCTCTAAGTCCCCTACAGAGTTCCTCTTTCCTCGTGTCTGAGGGTCTCCTCTGGGTCATGTGTCTTTTGCAGAAGACTAGCAGTGAATTGCCATGGGATTGATAACAGAGCCCTCTGGGCTCAGTGGCCAGCTCTGTCCTTTTCCTTGGCCTCTCTCTGATTATTTACAAACATATGACTTTCTAGCCCAGTCAGGGAGATTGTCTTTTGGAATGAGAGCTATATAAACAAAAAAGATTAAGAACTTAGTAATGGAGTTAATTTTCACCAAGAACAGAGGCAATCCATTTCCTCATGAAACTTTCCAGAGAGCAGGAGATGCAACTCTCTGAGAAAGGAAGGAAATAGTTCCAGGGAGGGGCTGCTGTTTTCTGGGCCACTTTGCATGAGACGGGAAAGTGAAAGCAGAACCGACGCAACCTCATGGAAGGCTATTTCTGCTGTAAGCACCTACTTCTCCATAGAGAACACTCTGCATGCCCTCGTGTGCCAATGGGCAGTGTGAACTAAGAGTGTTCATTTGTGTCTGGCAGAATATTTCTCAAGAAGGGTCTGGTAGCCGGGCAAGCCACATAGTTGGAGACACTGTTTGAGTGGAAGTAGACCAGTTTTTTCTAGTTGCTTGTTTTCATCAAGCAAGAACCACATATAGGTAAAAAGCAATTTTAAAAACTGATTTTTGGTTTTGAGAAAAGTCAAACGTGTAAAACATTTGTGATTGCATAATAAAGCTGCATGTCTAAGAATATAAATATTTTATAATAGATTAGCTATTACACAAAAACATTGAAATATCTTTTAATTTTTCATTTTGATCAGATGAAGAGAGCCAAAGAAGGAAAGTGAGTGTACAGAAATGGAAAAAGAAGTGGATTAATGTAGAGAAAGAAGAGATATCTAGAAGAATAAAATTGTGGCCCTGAGGAGAGAGGAGGTGGAATGGTTAGATTTTGCTCTCCATTAATAGAAGACCAGGTTGCTGTATTCAAAAGGTCTGAGAAGAAGAAAAGATGTGACAGCTACTAAGCACCTAGTAGATGCCAAGGATTGTTCTTTGCTATGTTAGGTATAATTAGATGACTAAGAATTGAAGCTATACAAATGAATGTTTGATCAAGGAGACATTGTTAGCTGGGGACAGATCCCTAGAGGCACTCTGCATTTAGAGATTCCCAGAGGAGCAGAAGCCCCAGAATGAATGATCTGAATGGTGTCAGGAAAATCAGAGGAGTGTGATGTCTTGAAATCTGAATAAGGAGAGATTTCAAGAAAGTGGAATGATCTACTGTGATGAAAGCAGCAGAAAACTCCACAAAGATAAAGATTTGGTGACCTTGGCAATCAATTTCTGTCCCACTGAGGTCATGGACAAGGAAGTCAGACTGCAGTGGGGCTGAGAATGAGTGGGAGGGGAGAAAGAGGAAACACAGAAGTGTAACATTTTCTTTAAGGAACATGGGAAGAGTAAAGAAGAAAGATGAGGGTGGAAGCTAGGGAGATGAGAAGAGCATTAGGGACAAGGAAGATTTGAGCCTAAATTCTAAACTGAAGGGAAGGATCTGGCAGCAGGGGGCTGATTAGAGTTAACAGAGAGATAGAAGGGAGGACAGCTGAGACAAGCTCCCAGTGGAGGCAGGAGTGAAGGTCTCGAGCGCATAACTGGAGGTCAGGGTTAGCCTGGAGCAGGAAGAGCCCCAGCCTCTGAGACTTCAGGAAGAAGAAGAAAGAGAAACCAGGGTCTCCAAATGGTCAGAATGTCGCTGATGAAGGGTGTGCCTGACCAATTTTCTTGATGAAGTAAGAGCCAAGGAATTCCTGCTGCTATGTAGAACTGAATGTGGAGTGAGAGGAGAGTGAGAAGGTTTGGAACTTTCACAAGGAGACTCGGGTAATTAATTAATTGATCAGTCAATCAATTAAATGGTTTGCTGCCTCTTTTCTCTTTCTATCAATTCAAGTCAATCCTGCTTTCACCGGGCTCCAAGGCAAAAACTGTGCCTGCTTGCCATTAATCATAGATAAGGCACAACCCTATTACTTAGCAGGACATCTGCGGCTTTCACAATTTGACACCAGCCTGTTTCCTAAGCCTCGTCTCCTCCGGCTCCTCGTTTACTTGGCCATGCAGCAGTCCCCTGCCCACCATATACTTTGAGGCCTCTGTGCCTTTGCCCAGGCCATCTTCTCTCCTTGCAAGGCTCTCATCCTCTTCTCCGCATCAGTAGACTTGTATTTATCCTCCAAGGCACAGTTCAAATGTCATCTTCTCTCTAGCTTCTCCTACCTAGGGCAGAATTAAGAATTCCCTTTTGTGTATTACGCAACAATTTATTTATTGTTGTTATAGCAAACATGGGAAATTGCTATTTCAAATACATAGTGTCAGAAGCTGCTTTCATATTCTGGAGATGTAATTAATCTCAAGGAGGAAATTGACTTTTGATTTAGAAAAACACGTTAATGCGCCATTTCATTATAAATGAAATACCCAAAGCTTGTATAGACAGAAGTTACATGTTTCTGTGAAGCATATGGAGATATATGTTATTATAAAAACATTAATTTACTAGAGGTCTTAATGTTTTCCTTTTGCACTTCTTTAGATGTGACCTTATGCCTATTCACCCAGGGGAAAATTTGGATTTTTATCACAGAAGACCAAAAGCAAACAATATTCCAAAACAGAATATTGACAGCTATATCAAAGTCATAGTCTTAAAAATTAGACATTGGTAAGAGAAAAGGGAGTTTCTAAATTTACAAAAGTCTAGGTCCTTAGAGCTCTCTGCTGGGGATTCATTCTAGACTGAGATCACCTCTTTTGGGAGGTGGGCACTCACTGGCCACTTCTGTGTTCCTGAGATCTTAGAAACACCAGAACCCTCTCCTCTCAACCCTCTGCTACCTCCACATGGCACTAGAGCCCACAGGATCTACCTTGGATCTACAGCTTGGATCTACCCACACACATTCTAGAGTCTCACGGGATCTTCTAGGGATATCCCTGGTCTGATAAAGAGACACTGCCTGTGGATATTTTCCTTTGCTATCCCAATTGCACTCTCTGTTTTTGTGAGGACACTTGGGAAGATGAAAAACACTCTGTCACCATTGTCATCTTCTCCCTGTATCACCAACATCTGACAAATCGAATATTACTTATAAGCTACTATGAAAACAAAAGGAAAGGCAAATTAACCAACATTTTCAGAAGTCTTCAAAAGTTGTAAAAACCATTAAATTCAATATAAAAGGACAAAACTTTAAAGTCAAGTTTTTGGCAAATTGATAAAATTGGGGAATTGATGATTTGATGTATTAATTTCTGATTAGTTGATGGGTTGATTTTAGTGAGTTGACGTGCAGTAAATTGGTGTTCAGGATGGTCATGGAGAGGCTTGAACTGGCCTGGAGCCAGGGGCCACAGCCCAGAACACACGGGCCCAGGATCAGGCTGCAGCCTCGCCAAACTGGAAGGATGTGAGTAGTAGCAGAGCCACGCTGGGGCCACCAGCAGGCAAGGTGGCTGAGCCCCACTGCCTTCGTCAGGGATAATCGATCGCAGATTAGACCAGCCACGGAAATGTTGGCGAGCGATGGGGACAGGCCAAGGAACTGGGGGCAGAGAACCATCAGAAAAGAGAAAAAATGCCACCTAGACCCAGCTTCCCACAGCCAGCACGCTCTGTAAGTTCATCCTCTGCCCCAGGATGTCATTCCCAAAAGGGGGAGGGAGAGGGGGAAGAGAAGAAACCGTGAAAGATTGTGCCTTTCCCAGAAGACATTTGAAGTTTTTCAAAAATACCTCTTTTAAACAGGAAGGGCTGTATCTATGCCTTTCGATGGCCAATTTTGGGGTTTTCCTACCATCATTTGGAATTGTTGCTCCAGAGTGTAATGAGACCAGTTATATATTTTTAAAGTTACTTTTTTTGATGTATAAATTTCAAACTATCTGCAGATATAAAGGAAGAGTGATTTTAGCTTAGAATTTCCCAGGAGACAGAGGTTGGAACTCTGGCATTTAGAGAAGTCAGGAGACGGGAGGGGAAAGTTCTAAGGGAAGTGAGCAGTTCCCAGCCAAAGGGCAGAAGTCCAGAGTTTGAAAAGTGATGGCCAGCAAGAAATCTGCTGTGCTGGGGAGCTGCCCCCAAATGACCACAACAGTCTGCCCAGGGCAGGAGGCTGGTGCAGGAGATGCCATCAACTCCATACGTAAGCACACATTTGCATCACTTCTCTGTCCAGGAATTATCAGACATTCTGGTGACAGCAGTGAGCCATTTGAATTCCTGCAATTAGACAGGCACTTGAAACTGCTTAATTACTAGGGAAAGGATTGCCCCAGAAAGTTGCAGGCCACATGAACATTTATATTGCACATTAATAGACCTTCTCCTTTTTCCACCACGTATTTAGTTCTGTGTACAGACTTCCAAGACAGCCATTCTTGTTGGCAGGAACCATAATTGTGGTCCCAAAGCCTAGCACGGCACTTAAAGCAAAATAGATTAAAACAGAGCGATGCACCAGCAAACAGTCAGATCTAAGGTCCAGAATGGAAAAATTCAATGGTAAGGTCGCCCTCTGGTGGAATATCTAGGTAGTAACAGGAAAGGACTTGAAGACTCTGGCAAGCTGGCTACTTAAATGTAAAAATCTCAGAAAAGGAGCCAGTGGCCAACTGGTAGCCAACCAAGAGCACCCAGAGCAGCGCTGTCCAGTAGAAATATAATGGGAGCCTCTTAATTCAATTTCAAATTTTCTAGTAGCTACATTTAAAAAGGAATAAGAAACAGGTGAGATTAATCTAATACATATTTTAAACCGCAAATATACAAAAAATTGCAAACTGAACATTAATTAATATAGAAATTACTGAGATTATGTATATACATTTAATTAAGTCTTCAAATCCCAGGGCATTTTATACTTAGAGTTTTTTTTGGCTTAATAGCTACAGGTGGCTTGTGGCTACTGCACAGGACAGCACAGTCCTTGAGGAAGGGGATCATGTCCTGCTCTTCTGTGCTCCCAGAGCAGCACACAGTGCCTAAGTCACATCAGGTGTCCTATAAACATGTATTTAATGAAGAATATCCCCCAACACCTACCTGAACTTGTCATGCTCCAAAGAACATGACAGATACAACTTTACCTCAAAGTCAGCATTTTAGACAATTTAGAACAACTGGATTTGTGTCATTTTTAAAGGACACTTTAGTAAGTTTTTGTCGAATCTGTGTTTGCCTCATTATTAGACTCTAGTCCCAATAACAGTACCTCTCCCTAGAGTCAGGGTTATCCACTTTATTCACTTTTATTTGTTATCATTGACTTATTTATTTAATAACGTGCTAGCGTTTAGGGGGAAAAGGAAGATTGTGTAACAAAGATTCAATCATCCATGATCCCTTCTTACAGGCCCTTTCCATCTAGGAGGGAATGTGGACCATACATATACATTCCAAGAAAACAAATAATGAGGAAGCCCTGGTGAGACTGAAAGGTGTTCTGAACTGGGTTGCTTGCTGGCTGTGGCTATGAGAAGGTTCCTGGAACCTTCTGCTCTTGCCTCCCCGGTGTTGGCCTTGAGCAATCACTGCCTGCTCCCTGCTGCAAAAAACGATGGCAAGATCCTGATTGCCTGTCCAGCTGTTGAGGGGTGGGTGAGAAAATCCAAGCTGAAATCCTGCTGGAGTGGGAGGAGCTGGGGACTGCCCTAGTCATTGCCTCCTCTGCCACCCCAGCTATCAGTGCTCCCTACGCCTCCTAGTGCTCCCACCCTGAAGTCCTGACCTGAAGTGACACCCAAAGGGTAGTGACTATGGTTTTGCGCTGGCCTAGGACTCCAGCTGGCCCTCCTTTCTCTTTACACACATGACACCAACACAGATGGCCACTAGTGGGTCAAAATAATACCTTTAGGGAGTGCCGACACCTCAAAAGAAAAACAGCAAACAGGACCATCTATGTCCTTGAAAGAAGTGGTAGAAAATATAGACCAGCCGCTTAAAATGAGCATTAAAAGTGCACTTTAAAAGTCAGAAGCTATTATAATATGAAAAAATAGAGAATATAGGGAAAACACCTAGAAGTTCTAGGTGTAAAAAATATATATAATAGTCAAAGTAAAAGCCACATTAATGGGATAAATAGTGGGAGAGATGCAACTGAAAAACAAAACAGAAAGATGGAGGACTACACTGAGGAGCTAGTTCAGAACAAAAGAGGGAAGAATTGAGAAGTCATCAATAGAAAAGTCAGGGGAAAAGGAGGAGAGAATTATCCAAATATAGATTATATGAGTTTCACAAAGACAAAAAATAGAGGAGAAAAATAGTTAAAGAAATAAAAAGATGAATTCCCAGAATTAAAAGATAGAGAAGATCCATAATGTCTTACAGAGAGAAGGAAAAACCCACTCTAGACACACTAGCAAAATTTAAAAATATCAAAGACAATGAGAAAATTCTAGAAGATTCCAGCATGAAAGACTGACATGGGATTTTCTAACTGTGACATTGGATGCAAAAAAAAAAATTTGGAATGATGTTATTTAGAATATTAAAGGGGAAAATACTTCAAATAGTATGTAATACACAGCTAAACTTTATTCAAAAGTGCTGGTATAATTTTAAAAAATTATCAAGCATACAAGACTTTAGAAGGTTTGCTATGCAAATTCCCACATCTGAAAGGTTTTGGAAGAAGAATTCTAATCAGAGAACGCATTCTAGAAGGTGCCAAAAGATATGAAAAGTAATGTTGACCAAATAATTTGGTGAAGGAGAAAATATGTGAATAAATTTGAAAGCATGCTAAAGTTCTTATCCAGTCAGAGGGAAGATGGAGAAGGTATCGGTAACACTTAAAAAAAAAAAAGGCAATGAAGATTAAAAAAGAAAACTTGGCCGGGTGTGATGGCTCACGCCTGTAATCCTAGCAGTTTGTGAGGCCGAGCCAGGCAGATTGCCTGAGCTCAGGAGGATAAGCCTGGGCAACACGGTGAAACCCCGTCTCTACTAAAATACAAAAAAAAAAAAAAAAAAATAGCCAAGCATGGTGGCATGCACCTGGAGTCCCAGCCACTCGGGAAGCTGAGGAGAATCGCTTGAACCCGGGAAGCAGAGGTTGCAGTGAGCCAGCCCAGATCATGCCACTACACTCCAGCCTGGCAACAGAGCGAGACTCCGTCTCAAAAACAAACAAACAAACAAACAAAAAAACTTTAAAAAATAGAAATATTGAAATAAATAAGGTATTACAAACAAGCCCAAGTGCATCAATATTCACAATAAACACAATCAGAATGCAGCAAAGACAGGGCCATGTGCTCACCAAACCATTATATCTTCCTGCACACATAGGTAACGTACATTTTTCCATCCCCGTGCGCCTATGTGGGGTCATTGTTTACTTCTTGCCAATGGAATGTGAGCAGAGATGGCAAATAGTTTCTGGTCCAAAACCATGGAAACAATGTGCCTTTCCCAGGTTCTCTCTCCTACCTGCAAAGCTAGGAGTTCATGAAGTGCTTTTCAATAATAGAGATGCAAAGTGGAGCTTAGCCACCTTGAGGCATGTTTTGGAAAAGAGCTACAGAGTGCCCAACCTGCCTTGAACTACACGTGGCTAAAAAATAAACCTGTGTTTTGTTAAACCACTGAGGCTTCAGTGTTTGTCTCTTGCAGAAACAAGTTTGCTCACTTTGACTACCATATGAATTGAACATAGGTTAGAAGACAGAGATCGTCAGATTGAATCAGAAGCAAAAATCTATATTTATGACATTTCAAGGGCTACATCTAAAGCATAAGTACAAAGGAAGAGTAAAAACAAAAGAGTAGAAAAAGATACAGTGAACAAATACCCAAAGACAGCTGTAGAACTTATTACTATCAGACAAGACAGAGTAGGACAGAAAGATTCTCAGGACAAATTGGGAAAAGGCTCAGTTCACCAAGACTGTAATAATTCCCAAGAGTAAACACCTTAATAACCTAAATGCAGAGAGGGCAAAAGTTGATTTAAAAATTAGAAACAAGTTGAAAAACCTACAGTCACAGTTAGAGATTTAAATATACCATTCATAGGCCAGGAATTGTGGGGCATGCCTATAGTCCCAGCTACTCTGGGAGGCTGAGGCAGGAGGATCGCTTAAGCCCAGCTGTTTGAGGCTGCAGCGAGCCATGATTACTTCACTGCCCTCCAGCCTGAGCAACAGAGCAAGGCCCTGTCTCTAAAAAATAAATAAATAAATGCACCACTCTTAGTTATGTATAGGCCAGTCCAAAGATAAAGAAAACCGTAATAAATTAGAATGACAAAATCCACATGCTTGATCCAATAAACATGTACATGTATAAAATTCTGCATCACATTTATTAGAGCCCATGTGAAATATTTACAGAAGTTCACCACACTCCAAGCCATAGAGGATTATCATGTAATTAAATTATAAGTTAATAACAAAAAACATACTTTAAAAAATCTATGTATGTTTTCAAATAAAAAAAAACACCCGATACTCGACTGTTATTAACCAAAGAAGCAACATTCTTTATCATGAGTTTTTCATGGCTTTCCCGTCTTTCATCTCATGGCTCCAGCTCCCACCTCACTTGGGGGGAGGTGAAGGTGGCAAGGGTCCTAACCAGGGCAGGACCAAAGCAGTGAAGACACTGTTCATTCATGCGCAGGTGTCTCCTAGGCGCCTATGATGTGCTAGGCATTACGTAGACACTGTGGACTAGAAACGAAAAAACTAAGATTAGGGCTCCCCATAAACCGGGCCATGCAAATCAATTACTAGCTGTCATTTGATTAATTTGAAGTCAGAAGCTGTGTCTGCCCCACTTAAAATAGGCATCCCTTATTCATTGAGGAAAGAGCATTGGAGCAGGTTTTACCAGTCCACAGACTACCCGAGAACCACCTGGGGAGCATGCTGAAAACACAGGTTCCCTGGCCCTGCCTTGGAAAGGCTAATCTAACCCATTAAGTAAAGAGGAAACTCAGGAACACGTATTATAACGAACCCCCCAGGTGATTCTCATTTGGAACCAGAGACCCGCATGATTTCCTAGCTCCCTCCAAGTTGAAAATCATCGATTTCATGGTCTTTGACACATGGCCTAATTTGGTTAGATTTCTCTTTACACAGACGTTAGCTTTACGTTGTTGTTGTTTTGTTTTGTTTTGTTTTTTAAATATATATACTGGACTAAATTCTCCCAGTGCCTCTTATTAGCCGAGCCCAACCAGAAGCCAAAGGCAAGGGTGATGCCGTCCTCCAGCCTGTGTCAGCCTGGAGGAGGTGCCCGGGTCCTGGAGGGACCAACAGAGAGGACCAGCACCTCTGCCCTCCTCGGGGAGTCCACGGGAGCTCTTTACACTTTGCTTTAGACCAAACAACTCCAACAATTACACATTTTTTCTTACACAATGAAATTAAATAATAATAAAAGAAAAATAAAATAACATTTTTGAAAGTGATTTAAAGTTTTAAGAGGTTTTTATTCCATTGTGTAGCCAATGTTTTCCTTTTAAAGATTATTGGTAAAGTTTATTTTACTTTCTAACTCAAAATTTGTCCACGGAAACTTCTTGGGAAAGTAGGATTCCCTGCATCGCAGATGGACATAGAGAGAGGATTTGTTGGAGCTCAGCTGCGCGGTGCTCTGACGGCCTTTTCTCTCTCTTCAGGGGGTCCCTTCTTGGAGGACGTGGTAATAGTTGGTCCAAGCCCCTCCCATCCTCCAAAACTTCCTTTGGCCTCTCCTGGGGGCCCAGTGAATCCTTCCACCTTCTCACCCCGGCTCTTTCCCTCTTTACCCAGCAACAGATACATTCACTCAGAGAATTTCTGTGATTGGCTGAAGACAGAAGGGGTCGCCCCCATCCTCGAATCTGTTTTCTTCTTCTTTACCTCCGCCTTGTTCCTGTCCTCACCACACGGACTGAGACTGATTTGATTAAAGCACCAGAGTGTAATGGCCCTCAGAGCAGGGCTGGTCCTGGGGTTCCACACCCTGATGACCCTCCTGAGCCCGCAGGAGGCAGGGGCCACCAAGGGTGAGTGCGAGGGCGAGGAGGGTGCGGCGGGGAGCAGAGATTTACGGAGTTGGGTTACATGAGGAGGTGGCATGGAGGATGCTTGTTCCTCTCGCTCTCTGGTTTATGGGCAACTTCCTTCACCAAGAGACACCCAATCCCCCTCATCTCTGTCACATCCACTCTGGACCTAAATGAAGATGCAGCTCGGTCAGCTGCGCAGGTGCCCCAGTCAGCCTTTGCTGACGTTCAGATTTCTCCTCATTCCTTCCTCCTTCCTGAGACCCAAACCTCCACCCAACAGATGCCAGCAAGCACCCTGATTTCTCTACCACCCCTGGCCTGGAATGTGCCCGATCAAGTCCAGTTCTGTTGCAGTATTTATGCCCATGCCGGTAGTTAACTATTTACCTGTCTTTGTTCTTCGGGAGACATGAGCTGGGGTGCGGGTCTACAGATGGTTCATCTTTTTTTTCTTTTATTTCCCTGGCCCCCCATTGTGCTGGGTGCATGCTAGTTCCTCAATAACTGTTGCTCAAACAACTTCATAGAGTTCTACAAGAATTAAAACTTAATCCCTAACTTCCAGAAAACTAGACAACAGTTATGGAAGAGCCACACTCAGTCATAATGCTCTGAGATGGAGGAATTGGGACATGAACCTTGACTTCTGACTCCTCGTCCAGTGCTCTTTGTAATGCCTTGAGTTGCCTCTCCCTATCCCCTTGGTCTCTGGGTCACTAACCTTAATTCTTACCCCTGCCAGCCGTGGCCTGTTTCCCCTCACACCCACCTGCACTGCATCTCTGTGCAAAGCTCCATACTCTCCTGTCCTTAATCATTCCTCCTCATCCCACCCCCACAGTCCCACCAGCTCACAACACAGGGCCTGACAACACAGCCAGGGCAGATGACCACAGCCAAGATTTAAATTCTGGAACCCCAAGCATGATTTTAGGCAGTCCCTCCTCTTCCCATCCTGATATGCCAGACTGCACTGTCTCTGTGCCGACTGCAGTGTGCTGGGATGAGCCTCTTTCTTCCTGTTCTCTCTCCCTTTCTCTCTCCCAGGGCCAGCCCAGTGTCAGAACAGGACTCTGTCCCCACACAGAACCCAGGACGGGGCCCAGGCTCAGGGACTCAACAATCACATATTGTGGATGAGACAGACACATTTTTTTCTCTCTCCTTGACCCTGAACTCGCCAAACACAGCTGACCACATGGGCTCCTACGGACCCGCCTTCTACCAGTCTTACGGCGCCTCGGGCCAGTTCACCCATGAATTTGATGAGGAACAGCTGTTCTCTGTGGACCTGAAGAAAAGCGAGGCCGTGTGGCGTCTGCCTGAGTTTGGTGACTTTGCCCGCTTTGACCCGCAGGGTGGGCTGGCCGGCATCGCCGCAATCAAAGCCCATCTGGACATCCTGGTGGAGCGCTCCAACCGCAGCAGAGCCATCAACGGTACCGGCCCTCCCTCTGCCCACCCAGTCAGGCGGGAAGGTCCAGAGAAACTTCCTCCCAGTTCCTAGGTTCCCATCACTCTGGGGCGCGCTCTCAGCGCCCGCGCCTGTCATGCCCTGTTCCTTTCTTTCCCAGGAGGCTCCAGGTCTTCCCAGACCCCTTTGGCACCCCTCTCCTTGAGGAATGACACCTCTCACCCGGACTCCCGCCCAGGGACCAGTCAAATATAGGAGCTCCTGGCGTCCCCACTCCCTCCCCAGTCTCCTCTCCCTCTGTTTCCCTCCTCTCCTGCCCCAGTGGATACCCCAGAGCATCCCCTGCCCACAGATGGCTACAAAGGGGGAACGTCCCTTAATCCCAGTCCTAGTAAGGCCCTGGGGTGAGGGATGAGCCTGTGGACTCAGGGCCCGTTCCTCCTAGTGCCTCCACGGGTGACCGTGCTCCCCAAGTCTCGGGTGGAGCTGGGCCAGCCCAACATCCTCATCTGCATCGTGGACAACATCTTCCCCCCTGTGATCAATATCACCTGGCTACGCAACGGCCAAACTGTCACTGAGGGAGTGGCCCAGACCAGCTTCTATTCCCAGCCTGACCATTTGTTCCGCAAGTTCCACTACCTGCCCTTCGTGCCCTCAGCCGAGGACGTCTATGACTGCCAGGTGGAGCACTGGGGCCTGGATGCGCCACTCCTCAGGCATTGGGGTACGGAGCCCCCTCCCCATGCACCCTCCTGGCCCCAGGTTTCCTTTACTCTAGAATCCTTTCATATACCACCGACTCCTTCCTTTCTCTCCTAGAGCTCCAGGTGCCTATTCCACCACCAGATGCCATGGAGACCCTGGTCTGTGCCCTGGGTCTGGCCATCGGCCTGGTGGGCTTCCTCGTGGGCACCGTCCTCATCATCATGGGCACATATGTGTCCAGTGTCCCCAGGTGCAGAGGCCCCGGGAGTCTGGGGGGTGGGGGAGGAAAGTGGATGACTCTGAACAGGACGTGGGTGGAGAATCAGAGATTCTGTTGTGGGGAAAGAAGTCAGAAAAGAAATGGGCAGGGAGAAAAGAAGCAGAGGTGGGGTGAGAGAGTGAGGTTTTGGGGGAGGTGGGCACTCAGAGATAGGATCCCAGCATATTGAAATTGAGCAACCTCGATCGTATGTTTTCTGCTATTTTAGGTAATGATCCTTCTGAGAGAAATGACTTGTGGGAGACACCCTGCAGATCCTCATGGGTTTGTGACAGCCCCTGCGTGCTCAGTGCCCTTTAAGTGCATCCCGCTGTGCTGACTTTGAGTGGGATCAACATCTGTCCTACGGGTCCCCTCTTTTTTGGCCCCAGTATTCATGGCAGGGTTTGTTGGACACCTACTAGCTTCCCTTCCCATTCAACACAAACACACATTCTTGCTCTACCCAAAGCTCTGGCTGGCAGCACTAAATGCTTTGGTGGTGTTTGCACTGTGTCCTTTCCAGGCCTTGGCCAGTTCTTCCAGGGGTGAGGCATGTGGTGCTGGGGATTGGCAGCCGTCCTGGGGCCCACACAGGTGTGTCTTGCTCCATTTGGCCCATTGTGTGTTACTTTGTGAATGAGCCATTTCACATGGACTTCATGAAATTTGCCTCCTGAGTTCAGGTTTACCCTGAAAGGGATGCAGATTATCCTGTTCCTCACGACCCCCTCAGCTAACAACAGTTCTGAAGGGTGCTGGGACAAGACAGGCTCATGGGGACTCCACTCCTGCCTGGGTTTACTCTGTATGAAGAGGCCACTGGTATCCTGCCATGATGTTATCTCCTTTTTCTACTTTCCCTAGAGTCCCATGCATGATAAAGAGAGGCCCAAGGCTTGGATAAGGTGGCCACTTCCCTCAGTGGAGTCAGTCATGTTAGGTAGGAGGTGGTAGAGTCGGTCTGCAAGGTATCTCGTAAGAGGGGAGGTCCACCTAGACACACTCTAAATATGTGGCCTAGAAGATTTTGGTCTACTTTTCTGTGAACAGAATTTAAAACATACAAAGAGATAAATCACCATACCACATAGTTTATGTCAAGACCAAAATGAGCAATACAGATTACGGTTTTCAAACCAGAATGCACATAAGAACTGCTTGGGATCCTTTTAAAAGTACAGGCATTGGCCTGGTGCAGTGGCTCATTCCTGTAATCCCAGCACTTTGGGAGGCCAAGGGGACAGGACTGCTTGAGGCCAAGAGGTGGAAACCATCTTGGGCTACATAGAGAGACCCCATCTCTACAAAGAAAGATTTAAAAATTAACCAGGCATGGTGGCTCGCACCTGTATTCCCAGCCACTGGGGAGGCTGAGGCCGGAGGAGTGCTTGAGCCCAGGAGTTCAAGGCTGCAGTGAGCCAAGATTGCGCCACTGCACTCCAGCCTAGGTGACAGAGTGAGACCCTGTCTCTAAATAAATAAATAAATAAAATATAAAAATAACAGTCATCACCCAGACCTACTGAATTAGAATCTCGGGAGTGCAGGGGGCAGCAACAGGGGGGCTGTCTTTTCTGAGAAGGGGTCTCACTCTGTCACCAGGCTGGAGTGCCATGGCATGATCTCAGCTCACTGCAACCTCCACCTCCTGAGTTCAAGCCATTCTCCTGCCTCAGCCTCCTGAGTAGCTGGGACTACAGGTGTGCGCCACTACACTCAGCTAATTTTTGTATTTTAAGTAGAGACGGGGTTTCATCATGTTGGCCAGGATGGCCTCCATCTCTTGACCTCGTGATCCACCCACCTTCCCTCCCAAAGTACTGGAATTACAGGCATTAGCCACTGTGCCCAGCCGAGGCTGTCATTTTTAACCGGCTCTGGATGACTCTGATGCAGCCATCCTGGACCTTGGCTGTGGTCTGGTAACTGGAACCCAGTGACGTAATCAGGTGCCATCGGGGGTCATGGGAAAGGGGGATCCCCAAGGTCTGAGGTGGACTAGGAAGGCTTTCTGAAGAACCTGGGTCTGTTAGGGCATCAGCCAATCAAGGTACAAGTAAATAGAGGCAAAATGAGGGTTTGAACTGTGAGCAGTTGGTCCTGGAAAAGAAAGAAACCAAGAGATTATGGGGACTCAATGGGCTTCTTAAGAGAGAATAAGTTGAAATCAATGACCAGAAGACCCTGATGGAAGTGGAGGAGAATCATCTCAGGCAAACTTTTTGTGTGCCAGTAACAGAAACCCTCTTTGTGTGATCACATGCAAAGTATAGGATATTTGCAATATAGCCATGGGGAGGAGTGCAGGGCCCAAGGGTAGATTTTAGCCAGGCCTCCCAGGAACAGAACTCGGATCCGAAAAGCCCAGAGAAGCTAGAGCTGCCCCTCCAACACTCTCGGATCCACATGGTCTGTGTTCTCTAGACCCCCCTGCATGTTAGCGGTGTTCTCTCTCTGTGGACTGACTGTCCTTCTCAGTGAACATGTCCACCCGACAGCTCCTGAGTTTATATCATCTCAACCCTCACAACCCACAGAGGCTGTGTCTCCTAGTCACAGCTTTAAATTACTGGAAAAATAAATGACTGGCCAAACTTGGAGCAGGTGTCCATCCCAGCCCTGTGTAGTTAGAGCAGGAATCAAGATCTCAACACAAATGTGGCTGCCAAGCACTCAGCCCCGGGGCGAGGGGTCAAGTTCTTCTCAGAGAAAGAGGAATAAGTTGGTTCTCAGAAGACATCACAAGATACGTGTGTACCCAACAATCTCTGATCTCTGCTGATCTTTTGCTTAGACGTTAACTTGATGCATCATTGGAAAGGTGTTTCTCTCATCTCTGTCCTAAGGCTTGATAAAGTCATTAAAATTGTGTTCTTTTGACTAAAGAAATATGCTTTTTTTTTACTGTTGCATATACTACCCTGAAGTCACTGGAACTTCTAGGAGTAATTCCAGAGCTTTTAGATTTATGCACCTGCGTGTATACTCACATTTGTTTCTAGTCTCAAGGTACGTAGTCTTTTATTTTAAAAAACAAGTTGTCCTCCTGCATTCTTGATCTTTCACTCTCTTTTAGAACAGACATCCAGTAGTCTCCTGTCCTTTGTATCCAAACTCTCCCTTTTTGCAGGGTCACCCTACAAATCATAAGCATGTCATCTCTCCTATATAACAAGAACATCAAATCCTCTGTCTGTCCTTGACCCAGTCTCCCTTCCACCCAAGCTCCTGGTCACGCTCTCTGAGAGTGTCTACGTGGACTGCCTCCAGATCCCCTCTTCCCATCCACTCTCTTTCGGTTTTAATTTTTAACCAAATTATGTTATAGTTTAAAGAGTCAAATATTTCTACAATATTTGCTACAGAAATACCAGTTTCCAGCCCCATCTCCCACCATATCCTCACCCTTACAGAAAATAACTTTCAATTGTTCTAATATGTTTTGTTGGTATTAACCTCCCATCTCTAAATAACATGTTTGTGTTGCTACATCTAGATTTTTCAGCTTTAGGCTTTATCTCTTTACCTCCTGCTGTGGAAGAGGGGGATTTAGATTTTTTTCATCCTCAAAGAACATCATGCCCCCTTTCCCATGCCCTTTCTTTTAATGTGACTATATTGTAATTTTTACAATATAGTAAAAGTTACTGTGTTTACTATGTTTCTATCAATATGACCATGTAATGGCAAACCATAGAGCAAGCCATGCTCACTCTTCCTTTTCTAGACGACTTCGTTTTCTCTGGAGTATATAGTTGTCCTGTTTTCCTTTGTGTGGCTGTATTTGTACTTATTATTAATGAATCACAAAATTCCTCACAGTACAATCAAACACATCAGGTATTCTGTCAATTTTATCACCAGATATAACTCTCCCAGAACCTTCTGTCTGCTCCATTCTTAACTCCTTGCCCTTGATGATACAGCGGTCACTCTGAGATCACTCTTCGCCATCCTCGTCAGGATTTACCTATCCTCCGAGTTGGATCTTCTGCTTCTTGTATCCAGTCATTGCCCTTTTGTGGTCTGCCTTATTTTAATGAGGCACCTCTTCTTTCCACTTCCTGAGAAACAGTGCATATGAGGAAAACTTTTTATGCTTCGTATGTCGGAAAATATATTTATTCTACTCTCACACTTGAATAATAGCTTCCACGGTTATAAAATTCAAGATTGGAAATCATTTCCATCAGAATTTTTAAGGCATTTCTCTATAATCCCTTAGCTTCCTGCGTTATTGTTGATAATCCAAAAGATATTGTGTCATGAAACTTTGTACGTAATCGTTGTTGTTTTTTTCTCTCAGAAGCTTATAGGATATCTGCTTTTTCCCTTCCTCCTTTAAATTCTTATAGGTGCTCCATTACCTACAAGATGAAGACCCTTCTCAAACCGTCCTCAGGGTATTTCTTTTTCTTTTTTTCTTTTCTTTTTTTTTTTTTTTGAGGTAGAGTCTCACTCTGTTACCCAAGCTGGAGTGCAGTGGTGCAATCTCAGCTCACTGCAACCTCTGTCTCCCAGGTTCAAGCAATTCTCCTGCCTCACCCTCCTGAGTAGCTGGAATTACAGGCACCCCCCACCATGCCCGGCTAATTTTATTATTTTTAGTAGAGACCGGGTTTCACCATGTTGGCCAGGCTGGTCTCGAACTTCTGACCTCAGGTGCTCCGCCTGCCTTGGCCTCCCAAAGTGCTGGGATTACAGGCATGAGCCACCGCACCTGGCCTATTTTAACCATATAATAGCTCCTCCTGAAAATGATCAATGCTTAAGTCACAGAAAACTGTTGTCGCATGTTTACTCCTCCCTGCCTTTGCACAAACTATTCTCTGTGCTGGACCTGCCTTCCTCCACCAACCAGTCAAAATTCTACCTGTCCTTCCAGGGTCCAGATTAAATGTCACCTCTTCTGTGAAGCATTTTCAATCCCAGCCCCCAATATGCTGGCCACCCTGTCCCTGCAGTGCATACCACATTCCGCCCTGTGTCAGTTGACTGTGTATGAATTTGCCTTTGCCACTAACTGCTCCTCTAAAGCAAGAGAAGGCTGTGTCTTATAGTTCCAACACCCAGAACATAATGGGCATTGAAACACTGTAGAATTCTATTTAATTCAATTTTGTTTGCTTCAAATCCAGCCTGGTCCGACTGTCTGCAGCTGGTTTTAATAACATTGGCTACCGTTTACCCAACACATGCAATGTGCCTGGCCTTAATGCTTTTCACGTGTAGTGGATTTGAATCTTGGTCCAAAAGATTAATAAGATAGTGCACAGAGTGCAAAAAATAGTAAATGTCTTTAAATAATCGAAAATCTGATTCAAAACCTGCTCTTTAAAAAATCTTAAATCTGATTCAAAACCCCTGCCATGAGGCTGGTTTTAAGTTCAATCTGTCTTTATTGGGGCTTCTGGTCTCTTACAGTTGTTCCAAGGGTCTGCGCCCTGACACAGTGCTGAGGCCTTGGAGAAGCCCCTGTTGTCTTCTCCAGTCCAGACTGTTTACTCCAAGCATGCCTAGGGCTTAACCTGTATGCTCTTTTCCAAGTGGAAGCTCTGCTGCTTCTGCACTAGGCTTGGGGCAGGGGAATCTTTAGTGAGGAGTGATCCCCAGTGCCTGGGAGCAGGACTGCAAAGATGCACCATACGGCCAACTTCCCCGTCCCTGGGAGGCCTCCCCACCTGCCTTGGCTGCTGCAAGGAAGCAGGGCTCTTTCAGACCCACAGGCCACTGTGCCTTCCTCAGTTTGGGAGAACCTTCCCCCTTTGCCTGTCAAAGGCATTCCCCTCTCTCTCTCTGGCACAATGTCTGGGACACCTGGCATAATGTCAAGTGAGCTTCAGATTTTGGGAAATCCAAAGCCAGAAGAGGAAAGGCCTTGGCGGTGACATGTGCTATTGTCTTGTGTGACAAACCTAAATACAAACAAAGGAAAAAGAAAAGCATCATTCTGCCATACATGAATTATTTCATTTCTTCCTTATGACCAATCTGCAAGTTAAGTATAATGATTTCATTTTATAAAGAAGGAAGCTAGGATTCAAATTACCTAACTTGCCCAAGGTCAAACAGCTAGGAGGTGGTTGGAAGGTCTGTGTGATGCTAGAGCCCATGTTCTTTCCACTGCACTGTCCTACTCAGCAGCGAATGGAGACCAGCTTGTGAGACATGAGGCAGGATGAACAGGGTCAGACATCAGCATTACTAGGAAATGTGTAGGAGGAGGTATTCCCAACTTTGGGAACAAACTTCTTCTGAGGCTTCAGCAGCAACAGGCTGCAGGGAATGAGGTGAGCTTGAAGAATGACTGGGGATGGAATTACTGAAGAGATTTTCTTCTCCCTCCTGGATCAGTCGAAGCACTCCCCCAGTTCAGACTTTCTTTCTTGCTTAGTCTAAATTCCCTCCTGGTCAACAAGACTCTATATGATCTGGCGCTGCATGTGTCTTCATCTTTACTTCCCTCTACTCTTCCTTCTTTCATTAAGCAATAGCCACACTATCTTCCCCAGAATTCTCCTTAACATTAATGCCTCCAATTCATCACCCATTCACAACTCGTGTGGCACCAATTCAGAGAAGCTTCATTGACCAACTTTGCTAAATAAACCACCTATCTCCAATCTCTCCCTATCATGTTACCCTATTTATCTCTACACACAGATGCCTTTCAATGAATGATGTCCCACTTCTCAGGCTTTCCTTTCTCTCTGACTTCAGAAAAGCTTCCAGACAAGTGATCGTGCACGCAGAGGAGCGACTTCACTTCCTCTCCTCTCCTCCTTGTGGTTTAGGAGGTTGCTACCTATGACTTGTAATTTGGCTCCATCTTGTGGTTTGCATCCACCCCACCTGGAGCCTCCAAATCTGAGTAAGCCTAAGGTCTCCCAAGGTGGACTCCCCGGCACTTCCGTCCACTGGAAACGTTCTGCTGCCTCCTCCCTAGAGTCCCAACACCGCTCTTGAGACCTGGTCAGGTTCCCAGTTGCCCTTTATTCCTTTCCTCGGGCCTTCAGTATATGGATCTGCTTCAGGTACAAGTTCTTACTGTAATGCCTGAAACATGGTGGTTACTCAATAAATGTTTAAAGCCCCAGCTGACTAAAACAAAATGTAGTCACCCTGCTCTCAAATTCCCTGATGACATGTCCGCATAAAGAAAAATAAATTAAAATTTGTTTTTCTGATATTAACAAGTATTGTTTTGTTAATACTATTATCTTTCATAATAGTATTGACTATTATTATTGAGCACTTCCAATGTGCCAAACACTAGTCTAACCAACTGATATTTGTCAAATCCAGTATCTCCACATTCACTAAGAAGCACACCAGATATTTCCTAAATTGTTGCATGAAACCGAAGTGTTTAGGAGAGTGTTAATAACCTAACCAAAAACAAATCAATAGAAGTAATATTTTTCTGTTAAAACATATTTTAATACATGTAAGGAAATGCCAAACTTAAATATGTATCTTTTTGTTTTTTGTTTTTTTTGAGACAGAGTCTTGCTCTGTTGCCCAGGCTGGAGTGCAGTGGTGCCATCTCAGCTCACTGCAACCTCCGCCTGCTGGGTTCAAGTGATTCTCCTGCCTCAGCCTACCGAGCAGCTGGGACTACAGGCATTCACCACCGCACCCAGCTAATTTTTGTATTTTTAGTAGAGATAGGGTTTCACCATATTGGCCAGGCTGGTCTCGAACTCCTGACCTTGTGATCCGTCCGCCTTGGCCTCCCAAAGTGAAGTATGTATCTTTATTATATAGTAATCTGCCTTTTAAAAATGATATGTCATTATTTGTAACAATTGAAAATTATTGGAAACATGCCTAGTAAGAGTACAATAGTTGAAAAAATTATAGTACATCTGCACAATGGAGTAATGCAAAGCTGTTAAAAAGAATGAGGAGATAGAAAAAATAAGTTCCAATGTTTGATAGCAGACTGGGGTGACTGTAGTCAGCAACAATATATATATATATATATATATATATATATATATATATATATATATATATATATATATAGTATATTTCAAAGTAGCTAGAAGAGAGGACTTGAGATGTTGCCAACACATAGAAATGATAAATGCTCAAGGTGAAGGATACCCCAAATACCTGACTTGATCATTAGTCTCATTGTATGCATGTAACAGATACTCACATGTACCTCATAAATAAAATATGTAAAATATCATGTATCAATTAAAGGAAAAAGTCTAACGAAAAGGAATGAGAAAGATCTCTTTGAACTAATACGGAGGAATCTCTAGGTTAGAGTGGAAAATTCACAGTGCAATACAATGATTAAACTATGTACTGCCTTTGGGGTAAGAAAGAGGAAAGATACATATTTTTTCAAAAAGGTGGATTGGGTCAGATGTGGTGGCTTGTGCCTATAATCCCCACACTTTGGGAGGATGAAGTGGGAGGATCACTTGAGGTCAGGAATTTAACACCAGCCTGGCCAACATAGCAAGACTCTGTCTCTACATAAAATAAAAAAATTAGCCAGGCATGGTGGTACCCCCTGTAGTCCTAACTACTCAGGACGCTGAAGCAAGAGGATCATTTGAGCCTAGGAGTTCGAGGCTATAGTGAGTTATGATGGTGCCACTGCACTCCAGCTTGGGCAACAGAGTGAGACCATGTCTCCAAAGGGGGAAAAAAGCTGCATTGGAAGGATAAACAAGAAATTAATAAAAATGGCTACTTTTAGGAAGGAAGGGAGAATAGAAGTGAGAAGTGAATATTGACCTTTGAAACGTATAAATAATTTACAATGTTAATAAAAAATTGACAAAAACCTCTAAAATTTAAAACAAATAGAACTGAACCACACAGAAAAAATAAGTATCCCAAGTGATATTAAAAGATACTACTGTATGTTCTTGGTGGAATACACTTACTCTCTCTCTTCTCTCTCTATTTTTTGTTGTTGTTGTTGTTTGTTGTTTGTTGTTTTTTTAGACAGGGTCTTGCTCTGTTGCCAGCCAAGGCTGGAGTGCTGGAGTGCGCTGGTGTGATTATAGCTCAGTGCACCCTCAAATTCCTGGGCTCACGTGATCCTCCCACCTCGGTCTCCCAAGTACAGTAGCTGGGACTTCAGGAACATGCCACCATACCCAGTTAATTAAAATACATGTTTTAAATAGAAATGGGGTCTCATTATGTTGCCCCAGCTGACTTAATAGAATATATTCTAAGGACAAAAAGAACTATCAGAACTTTGAACATCATTCAGTTGTTTTATGGTTAAGTAATATTTGTATCCTTATTTGAAACTATACTATATATAAAATAAAGCAAATCAGTGATTATGTTAATATAATTAAGAACTAAGATTTTTAGGCCGGGGGCAGTGGCTCATCCCTGTAATCCCAACATTTTGGGAGGCCAAGGCGGGCGGATCACAAGGTCAGGCATTCAAGACCAGCCTGGCCAACACAGTGAAACCCCGTCTCTACTGAAAACACACAAAAAATCAGCTGGGTGTGGTGGCGGGCGCCTGTTATCCCAGGTACTCGGGCGGCTGAGGCAGGAGAATTGTTTGAACCTGGGAGGCAGAGGTTGAGGTCAGCGGAGATTGCACCATTGCACTCCAGCCTGGGCAACAGGGAGAGACTCCATCTCAAAGAAAAAAAAAAAAAAAAAAAAAGAACTAAGATTTTCATGTATAAAAAGCAAGTAAAAGTAGCTGAATTAAAATAATAATATTAGAAAAAATATTTGAACTAGAACTGTCAATTTTAACTAATGATTCACTAACATATATGTCCCTGCTCTAGCAAATGAAAGAGCCTAATAGTAGCCCTGTAGCAATGAGCATCCTCAATGCACAGATTGTAGTGTGTAAATATCATTTCCCACTCAAAGGAAATAGAGCTTCTTGGAGAAGTGACCAGTTCCAGGCCTGAGTTATGGAAAATACAAAGCAAGTGTGAGTATCTCATTGTTTTCATAAAACAAGGCACTGTTCAAAGACTAATAGAGTCATGTCAAAAAAACAGGTCAGCCAGTTTGAAGGAGCTTCCATTGGCCAAAACTGGAACAACTCAGACATCAAAAAGATGACTATAATATAATTAAACACATTGAGTATATAAAAATCCATGGGTTCCTATTAATAGTCGAATACAGATTTTAAAAAGTAAGCAACAACAACCCATTGATATTACCACTGGATGTGATCTTCCAATTCATAACACAGGAAATTGGTGCTTAAAGAAAACAAGTATATATCCTGACATTTCACAAGGAAATGTTCCACTGATGAAAAAAGGTCTACCCTTCAGAGTACCAGTGAATAAATGTTGGGAAAAATAACAGAATTAGAAAACCAGCATTTTGTAAGCCTAATGTGATCATTGATTCAGGGAAGGCATCATATATGTTAAAACCATTAGGAGAATAGACAGTGAGGAACAAGAGAGTCACATCATGCCAAAGTATCATGGTCATAGATTATTTGCTATTGTCAAATGGGAGAAATACCTTTACAGAGGTGATGGCTGTCATCACCTCGACTGAGTGATCAAGTTTAGCCTCACCAATAATAGGACAAGACATTAAGCATATACTTCCTAATAAGATGAAATGCAAAGTACACAGCAATACCTATGAAGAATTATTGTCAAAAATCTTTCATCTAAAATCTAGTCAAGCCTTTGTTTCAAAAAGTTCTAGTCTATAAAAAAAATACATTGGATAGAGGAATAAGTCAAATGAAACCACAAAGAACCAATCACACAAATTCAAAATGTGAGAGATTCTACTGGCCTTGTCTCTCTAAAAAGATGCTGTTTAAAAAATGGGTGGAATAGTGGGAATTAAGAGACATTACAATCAAATTTAGTGAATGATTCTTGGCAATATCTTTGAGGAAAAACAGATATAAAAGCACTTTTCAGACAAATGGGGAAATTTGAATATGAACTGGTAATCGATGATATTAGAGAGCTGTTTTCAGTTTTGTTTAGTATGATTACAGTACCACGGTTATGTATCAAGTCATCTTTATGCTAAAGTATTTAGGGATGAAATGCTAGATCTCTAATTTACTTCGGAATGAATTCAGAATACACACACAGTTCAAACAAACACAGCAAAATCTTGACAGTTGTTGAATCTATATGATGGGTATTTGTCTTAGTCCATTTTGTGTTGCCATAACAGAATACCACAGACTAGGTAATTTACCAAAAAAAAAAAAAAAAAAAAAAAAGAAAAGAAAGAAATTTGTTTCTCACAGTTCTGGAGGCTGGGAAGCCTAATGTCAGGTGCCAACATCTGGCAAGGGCTTTCTTGCTGTGATGAAGAAAAAAGGCAGAAGAAAAAAGGAGGAGAGAAAGGATGAAGGAGAGGAAAGGAGTCAAACTCATCCTTTCATCAGGAATTCACTCCTGAGATGAGATAACTAATCCACTCTAGAGATGATGGCATTAAGCCCTTTATGAGGGCTCTGCCCATCTCTTTAAGAGATGACCTAATCGTATTTTAAAGGTCCCACTTCTCAACGTTGTTGCATTGGGGATTAAGTTTCCAATGTTTTAATATATAACAACTTTATGTTATGTATAAAATAAAGCAAATCAGTGATTATGTTCATGTAATTCAGAACTGAGATTTTTAATGTATGAAAAGCAAGTAAACGTAGTTGAATTAAAACAATAATATTAAATTTGAACTAGAAAAATATTTTGAACTAGAAATGTCAGTTTTAACTAATGATTTACTAATATATATGTCCTAGCTCTAGCAAAAGGAAGAGCCTAGTAACTTTGGGAGACACATTCAAACCATAGCAGCTTTCAAGTATTATTTTATTTTTTCCAAGTTTTCTGCAGGTTTGGAAATTTTCACAATTAAAGAGGTGTGTGTGTGTGTGTGTGTGTGTGTGTGTGTGTGTGTGTAATGCTTTATTATACTTGAAAATAGCAGGAAATTAAAGGAGAGAGCACTAGATTCCTGAACTCACAAGTTGATGTATGTCACCAATTGAATAACTTTTTTTTTTTTTTGAGACAGAGTCTCGCTCTGTTGCCCAGGCTGGAGTGCAATGGTGCAATCTCAGCTCACTGCACCCTCCACCTCCTGGGTTCAGGTGATTCTCCTGCCTCAGTCTCCCGAGTAGCTGGGATTACAGGCGCCCACGACCACGCCCAACTAATTTTTGTATTTTTAGTAGAGGCAGGGTTTCACCAGGTTGGCCAGGCTGGTCTCGATCTCCTGACCTCAGGTGATCCACCCACCTCAGCCTCCTAAAGTGCTGGGATTACAGGCATGAGCCACCGCTCCCAGCCTGTTCTGTAATATTTTATAATTTAAATAAATAATGTAAATGGGTTGTTCTTTTGTTTTAATTAAAATAAAATAAACATGATGTAATGCCTTTAAATTTTTGTTCCACTACATGGCTATTAAATACAGACATAAAATTTGACCATTTCCCCAGCAGATTTCTCATCCATAGGCTCAAAACCAACTCATTTTATTTTGGGAGCCCTACAATTACTTTATCAATATTATATCATTTGAAAAAAATGATCTGTAGTCAAAAGTTACTGTAACATTGTCTATAGACATCCCAGGAACACCAAGAATAAGTTCACCTAGAAAAATGTCATATAATTTTGTTTTTATAAGACATTAAAATGTTATATAAAAAATTATAAAACATTAAAATGTTATATAAAATTATAAAACATAAAAATGTTATGTAAAAAATTATTTTCCCCATATTTGAGATTTTATTGCCAATCCCAATCAGAAAACAGAAAAGAGGAATAAAAAATAGTAAAAATGGGCCGGGCGCAGTGGTTCACGCCTGTAATCCCAGCACTTTGGGAGGCCGAGGCGGGCGGATCACGAGGTCAGGAGATCGAGACCATCCTGGCTAACACGGTGAAACCCCGTCTCTATTAAAAATACAAAAAATTAGCCGGGCGTGGTGGCGGGCGCCTGTAGTCTCAGCTACTCGGGAGGCTGAGGCAGGAGAATGGCGTGAACCCGAGAGGCGGAGCTTGCAGTGAGCTGAGATCCCGCCACTGCACTCCAGCCTGGGCGACAAAGCGAGACTCCATTTCAAAAAAAAAAACAAAAAAAAAAAACAAAAAAAAAAAAAAGTAAAAATGAAGAAGGTACTAAGTTTCCAAAATCTTAAAAAGTCTTTATAGTTTTTAAATCTCCTTCTTATGTAGTCAACGCAAGCCCAGACGCACGCCTACCCTTACCCCCAGCTTTCCTCTCACCATCCATCTCCTACAATCCAGTTCCCTCAGGCCTCTCTTCCTTCACAAAGGTCCCAGTGTCTAAGCCAAGCCTGAAGGTATGGTTAGGATGAATGGTAGGTATGAATAGTTACCATTTAGAAATTACGCAGTCTAAAGCGAATATTAATAGTTCAACTTAGCCTGGTTTCTCTTCGTGCAGCAAAAGCCATCACTGGAATTTCCTTTACTTATATTTATGGAATGAAGTCGTTCGTTTCTTATTTGTGTCTTCACACTTCTTAATAGTTCTCCAGCTAAGCTAAATTAATTGGGCTTGGTGAAAAAAATAAAATTTTCTACAGTATGCAGGAATCTTGTGTAGAAGCTGCATTTAAGAACATAGAAGAAAATGGAGACATTACAACTGACACTATAGAAATACAAAAGATCATCTAAGAATACTATAAACACCTCTACGCACACAAACTATAAAATCTAGAGGAAATGAATGAATTCCTGGAAGCATTCCTCTAAACTTGAATCAGGAAGAAATAGAAATCCTGAACAAACCTAGAGGAAATGAATGAACTCCTGGAAGCATACAACCCTCTAAGCTTGAATCAGGAACAAATAGAAATCCTGAACAAACCAGTAACAAGTACTGATATTGAATCAGTAATAAAAAATCTTTTAAAAAAAAAAAAAGGCCCAGGACCAGATTCACAGCTGAATTCTACCAGATGTTCAAAGAAGAACTGGTACCAATCCTATTGAAACTATTCCAAAAGATTAAGAAAGAGAGAATCCTCCCCAACTCATTCTGTGAAGCCAGTGTTACCTGATGCCAAAGCCAGGAAAGAACACAACAAAAAGGAAAACTACAGAACAATATTCCTGATGAACATAGATGCAAAAATCTTCAACAGAATATTAACAAACCAAATCCATCAGCACATCAAAATGATAAATCACCATGATCAAGTGGGTTTCATCATAGGGAGGCAAGGATGGTTCAACATATGCAAGTCAATAAATGTGATTCACCACATAAACAGAATTTAAAACGAAGTCATATGATCATTTCAATCAATGCATAAAAAGCATTTGGTAAAATCCAGTATCCCTTTATAATAAAAAATTTCAACAAACTAGGCATAGAAGGAACAAACCTCAAAATTATAAAAGTCAGATATGATAAACACACAGCCAATATCATACTGAATGGATGAAAGTTGAAAGCCGGCCGGGCACAGTGGCTCACGCCTATAATGCCAGCAGTTTGGGAGGCCAAGGTGGGCAATTCACCTGAGGTCAGGAGTTCGACACCAGTCTGGTCAACAATAGTGAAACCTCATCTCTACTAAAAAAAAAAAAAAAAAAAAAAAAAAATTAGCTAGGCATGGTGGGACTGCATGCCTGTAGTCCCAGCTACTTGGGAGGCTGAGGCAGGAGAATTGCTTGAACCTCGGAGGCAGGGGTTGCAGGGAGCTGAGGTCGCACCACTGCACTCCAGTCTGGGTGACAGAGTGAGACTCCGTCTCACACACACAAAAAAACAAAAACTGTCCAGGGGAACTTGTCCAGTCCCCCTAAGAACTGGACAAGACAAAGATGCCCACCTTCACCACTCCTATTCATCATAGTACTGGAAGTCCTAGCCAGAGAAAACAGACAAGGGAAAGCACACCCAAATTGGAAAAGAGGAAGTCAAATTATCTCTGTTTGCCAATAACATAATCTTATACCTAGAAAACGCTAAAGACTCCTCCAAAAGACTCTTAGATTTGATAAATGAATTCAGTAAAGTCTCAGGTTACAAAATCAACATACACAAATCAATAACACAGCTCTATACCAATAACGACCAACCTGACAATCAAATCAAGAACTCAATCTCACTTGCAATAGCTACAAAAAAAATTGTAAATGTCTAGGAATATACTTAACCAAGGAGGTGAAAGATCTCCCTAATGAGAACTACAAAACACTGATGAAAGAAATCATAGATGACACAAACAAATGGAAAACCATGCCATGCTCATAGATTGGAAGAATCAATATGAAAAATGACCATACTGCCCAAAGCAATCTACAGGTTTAATGCAATTCCTATCAAAATATCAGCATCATTTTTCACAGAATTAGAAAAAGCAATCCTAAAATTCATATGGAACAACAACAAAAAAAGCCTGGATAGCCAAAGCAATCCTAAACAAAAAGAATAAATCTGGAGGCATCACATTACCCAACTTCAAATTACACTACAAGGCTAGAGTAACCAAAACAGCATGGTACCGGTATAAAAGTACACAGTAGATCAATGGAACAGAATAGAGAACCCAGAAATAAAACCAAATACCTACAACCAACTAATCTTCAACGAAGCAGACAAAACAATACACTGAAGAAAGGACACCCTATTCAATAGATAGTGCTGGGAAAATTGGATTGACACAGGTAGAAGAACGAAACTAGGGCCGAGCGTGGTGGCTCACGCCTGTAATCCCAGCATTTTGGGAGGCTGAGGTGGGTGGATCATGAGGTCAGGAGTTTGAGATCAGCCTGGCCAACATAGTGAAACCCTGTCTCTACTAAAAAATACAAGATTTTGCCAGGAGTGGTGGCGTGCACCTGTAGTCCTGGCTACTTGGGAGGCTGAGGCAGGAGAATCACTTGAACCCAGGAGGTGGAGGTTGCAGTGAGCCGAGACCGTACCATTGCACTCTAGCCTGGGTGACAAACAAGACTCCATCTCAAAAAAAAATAAAAATAAAAATAATAAAACGAAACCAGATCCCTGTTTCTCAACATATACGAAAATTAACTCAAGATAGATTAACGACTTAAATCTAAGACCTGTGATCATAAAAATTCTGGAAGAAACCTTGGAAAAACTCTTATGAATATTGGCCTAGGCAAAGAATTTATGAATAGGACCTCAAAAACAAATCCAACAGAAGCAAAAATAAATAAATAGGACCTACCTAATTAAACTAAAAAGCTTCTGCACAGCAGAGGAAATAATCAAGAGTTAAACAGACAACCACAGAATGAGAGAAAATATTTGCAAATATCTGACAAAGGACTAATATCCAGAATCTAGAAGGAGCTCAAACAAATGAGAGAAAAAAAAAACCAAATAAATAATCCCATTAAAAAGTGAGCAAACGACATTGACAGACATTTCTCAAAAGAAGATATACAAATGTCCAGAAACATATGTAAAAATGTTCAACATCACTATCATCAGGGAAATGCAATTTTTTTTTTTTTTTTTTGAGACAGAGTTTCGCTCTTGTTGCCCAGGCTGGAGCGCAGTGGTGCGATCTTGGCTCACTGCAGCCTCCGCCTCCTGGGTTCAAGTGGTTCTCCTGCCTCAGCCTCCCGAGTAGCTGGGATTACAGGCATGCGCCACCATGCCCAGCTAATTTTGTATTTTTAGTAGAGATGGGGTTTCTCCATGTTGGTCAGGCTGGTCTTGAACTCCCACCTCAGCCTCCCAAAGTGCTGGGATTACAGGCGTGAGCCATCGCGCCCAGCCTGGAAATGCAAATTAAAACCACAATGAGATACTACCTTATCCCAGCCAGTATCATTGATATTAAAAAGTCAAAAAGCAATAGATGTTGGCAAGGATGCAGTGAAAAGGGATAGCTTATACATTGCTGGTGGGAATGTAAATTAGTACAACCTCTGTGGAAAACACTATGGAGATTTCTCAAAGAACTAAAAGTAGTTCTACCATTTGATCTAGCAGTCCCACTCCTGGGTATCTACCCAAAAGAAAAGAAGTCATTATATCAAAAAGACATAGAATTCACAATTGCAGAGGTATGGAATCAACCTAAGTGCCCATAAACTGATGAGTGGATAAGAAAATGTGATGTGTATATACCATGAAATCGTACTCATCCATAAAAAAGAATGAAATAATATATTTTCCAGCAACTTGGATGGAACTGGACCATTTTCCTAAGTGAAGTAACTCAGGAACAGAAAACCAAGTACTACGTGTTCTCATTGTTAAAGAAAAAAAACCTTAGACGAATGAAATTCAACAGAGTTTAATTGAGCAAAGAACAATTTGTGAATTGGGGAGCCTTCTGAGCCAGAGTAGGCTGAGAGACTCCAGAACAGCCAAGTGGTGGAATATTTATGAACAGAAAAAGTAAAGTGATGTACAGAAAACAGACATGAGGTACAGAAACAGCAGGATTGGTTGAAGCTTGGCATTTGTCTTATTTGAACACAGTTTGAACAGTTGATCACCTTTGATTGGCCAAAACTCAGTGATTGGCACTAGAGTAGGTTTCAGTCTGATTACACATCAAGTTAGGTTTCAGTTTACTATGTATGGAGAAACCTTTAGGCTGAACTTAAAACATGTAAGGAAGCAGCTTTAGGCTAAACCTAATTTAACACTCACTTGTAAGTAGGAGCTAAGCTATGGGTATGCAAAGCCATACAGAGTAGTATAACGGACATTGGAGACACAGAAGTGGGGAGTGGGGTGAAGGATGAAAAATTATTTACTGAGTACAATATACACTATTGGGTAATGGGTACACTAAAAGCCCAGACTTCACCACTATACAATTCATCCATGTAAATAAAAGCCACCTGTACTCCTAAAGCTATCGAAATAAAAATAATAAAAATAAAATTCTAGGCTCGGCCTGGTGGGTCATGCCTGTAATCCCAGCACTTTGGGAGGCCGAGATGGGCGGATCGCTTGAGGCCAGGAGTTTGAGACCAGCCTGGCCAACATGGCGAAAACCCGTCTCTACTAAAAATACAAAAATTAGTCCAGCATGGTGGCAGGTGCCTGTAATCCCAGCTACTTGGGAGGCTGAAGCAGGAGAATTGCTTGAACCCAGGAGGTGGAGGTTGCAGTGAGCCGAGATCGTGCCACTGCACTCCAGCCTAGGCGACAGAGCAAGACTGTGTCTCAAAATAAATAAATAAATAAATAAATAAATAAATAAATAAATAAAGTTCTAAAAAGATTGAGGTGTGTGTGTGACTGTGTGTATGTGTGTGCATGCATGTGTGTGTGTGTTCATCTCTAGCCTCATTCTTTAGCTCAGGTTGGTGGAGTTAACAATATCTGGAAGTTTTTGCTAAGTTTTACTTCTGAATTCCTTGTTTGCTTATATCTAGAATATAACTAGAAATGTTTGGTATGTAAAGATATAAACTTTGAAATTAGCCTTATCTTGTCTCACTAGCTCTGTGATCTTATGCACATTAACTTAGAGTTTCCTCCTCTCTAAAATAAAAATAATAACATATGTGTGGTAGGAACGTCATGTGGACCAAAAAAGATGACTATGAAAAGTGCCCATCAATATACACCTGGCAGATAGCAACGGCTCAGTGAGTGTCAGTTCCCTTTCCTTGGCTTTCTCCTTCTCTCTCAGTTTCCCCAGACTCAGAGGAAAAGAAGATTCTTTCTGTTTTGTTTTCTACCTGACTCTGAAGTTCAGGACAGATGCTTTTGATACCCCCTGCAGTAACATCAGCCACCTTCCTCCCAATCACAGAACTGCTTTCTGAGGTAGCTTTTCAACCCCAAGCTGCTCCCTCAGTTGCTCATCATTCTCTCCTTCCCTCAATTTTTGTCTCTTGCCTTACTCCCTGGCCAAATGATTGGTTAAATAGTTGTGGGGCTCTGTAGGGTCTATTTGCAAGACCAAAGGCAGTGATAGAAGGACATGAGATCACTGGGAATCAGCCTGAATAGCAGAGATGGATTTAAGAACAGTAAATCAGTGGGTTGTGTTATTGTGGTTGGAAACAGGTCCAGAACAGAATGCAGAATTTTAAGAGGAAGTCTAAGCACAGTGTCATAGCCAGTTTCAACACCAGGTCACAGACCAGACATCAGGGAATTGGGGGCCAAGTAAGGAAAGTTCCTTACAGAAGGCAGGGTGTGCAACCTGAAGCTTGACATAGCAATCAAAGGGCACAGAGATTGGGCAGTGCCAGTGCTTTCTTAAATCAAGAATACAGAATAATATGTCATGGTAACCATGGATCTGGAAGAACAAGCATCATTTTATTTTGCATCAGAGAGAATGAAGTTTCACTCTGACAGGGATGCAGGACTGCTTGGCCCTTGTAACTATCATTTTGTAACTTTTCAGCTTCCACTTACCTGGGGTTACTTAAGAGTTAAAAGAGTATAAGTAAACTTAGAAAACCTTGAGAACTGCTTTAAAACAATTATTTTTGGGTGGGGCATGGTGGCTCATGCCTGTAATCCCAGCATTTGGGGAGGCAGTTGCGGGTGGATCGGATCACTTGAGATCAGAAGTTCGAGACCAGACTGGCCAACATGGGGAAACCCCATCTCTACTAAACACAAAAATTATCTGGGTGCGGTGGTGCACACCTGTAGTCTCCAGCTACTTGGGAGGCTGAGGCACGAGAACTGCTTGAACCTGGGAGGCAGAGGTTGCAATGAGCCAAGATTGTGCCACTGTACTCAAGCCTGGGCTACAGAGCAAGACTCTGTCTTTAAAAACATTATTTTTGAGAGAGAGGAGAAAATCGGTAGATGAAACTGCAAAATGTCTCTTTTTTTTTTTTTTTTTTGCAGGAACTCTGGGTGAGAAACAAAACCATGCAGGAAGACAAGGTAATAACTGTCTTTCTTGGAAGAACTGTCATTGTCTCTACAACCTGCCTTCATAGAGAAGCCAGTTCCAACACATCTTCTGCAGGGGCAGAAGAGGGGAAAGTATTCATCAATTAACCAGTGTTACCTTCTCATAGTCTCAGCAATTAGAATAGCAACTGACTCCATGAGGTCTGACAGTGGCAGCTAATAGAAGAACTGCTCTTTTTTTGTTTGTCAAACACCAGCAAAAATGCTTATCGCTGGAGAATAAATCCCTTTTCTCCTTCAATCTCAAATCAAACATTAGCTTGTCTGACAAAATGAGCAATGTCCTCATTTGGCAAAGAGATGAAAGAAATATTTTATTATGTAGAAATATTCACTTACTGTACAAGGACACAAAAATACTTGAAGTTTGGGGTTGGTTGGAAAGCTTGGCAAGGATGATGAGTTCCTCTTACTCACATGAGAGGTTATTCTTATTTTGACCTCCTTAGTTGAGGTGAGGCCTCACTGCAAGTGACAGGTCTGATGATAACCCAGGAAGGGAGGTCTTCACTGGTGTGGTGGGGATAGGGCAGGGCATGAAGGGAGAGGTGAGTGATGGGCCCTGAAACAACACAGTATAGCTGAAAGACATGGACTAGTGACAGAGTCGTGTGAGAGTCCAGGCTGATGAGGGGCACTGAGAGAAGGGACAGAGGAAGGCTCAACAGACCTCAATGGCTGAACAGGGAGTTGGGGGAGAATAAGGGGAAGAAACTAGGCAGCTATAGAACTGTTACTAAATGTCTGTTTCCTCATGTATAAAATGGTGATGAGTACCTACCTCTTAGGATTATTATGAAGACTAAATTGCAAAAGTGCTCATAAGTGTCTGGTACATAGTAAACTCTATATAAGTGCTTGTTCCTTATAGCAGGGGTCCCCCAACCTCTGGGCCACTGAACACTACCAGTCCGTGGCCTGGTAGGAACTGGGGTGCACAGCAGGAGGTGAGCAGCGAGCAAGCTCTGCCTCTTGTCAGATCAGCAGCGGCATTAGATTCTCACAGGACTGCAAACCCTATTGTGAACTGAGCATGCGAGGGAAGGTTGCAAACTCCTTTTGAGAATCTAATGCCTGGTGATCTGAAGTAGAACAGTTTGATCTGGAAACCATTCTCCCCGCCTCCATCCATAGAAAAGTTGTCTTCCACAAAACCAGTCCTTGGTGCCAAAAAAGCTGGGGACTGCTGACTTAGAGAACTCACTGCGAGGGACATGTTTGGGGAAAAAGGTAGAATCTTTTCTAAAAATGTGTGCACAAGCTTATGGGACCTTGCCATTAGGCATTGCATTAGGCACTTGGAACTTTGACTCAAGGTTTGATATGGGGGCAGTTTCCCCCATGCTGTTCTCGTGATAGTGAGTTCTCACGAGATCTTATGGTTTTATAAGGGGCTTCCCCACTTCACTTTGGCACTCATTCTCCTGCCACCCTGTGAAGAGGTGTCTTCCGCCATGATTGTAAGTTTCCTGAGGCCTCCCCAGCCATGCAGAACTGTGAGTCAATTAAACCTCTTTCCTTTATAAATCACCTAGTCTCAGGTATTTCCTCATAGCCATGTGAGAATGGACTAATACAAGGTCTAAACAGAGACACAGATTTTATGGGTGGGAGGTGCCTCCAGAGGAATGGGTAAACTTGCTTAAAAATACTGTGCAAATAAAAAGAGGACAAAGAAAGGTGTCATAAGGGACAATATATTATGGGAGGCAGAGGCAGAGACTTTAAAGAAGCAGACTAAGAAATGGCTGTCTGAAAAGTATGAGAGCTAGGAACAAGTGGTGTCAAGTCAAAGAAGTCAGGAGATGCAGGGTGCGGTGGCTCATGCCTGTAATCCCAGCTACTCAGGAGGCTGAGGCAAGAGCATTACTTGAGCCCAGAAGGTCGAAGCTACAGTGAGCTATGATCACACCACTGCACTCCAGCCTGGGTGACAGAAATCCTCTTTCTTAAAAATAAATAAATAAATCAATATAAAATAAAATGCTAGGGAAGCCCCATGGGATGCTTCAGAGGTAAAGGGAGATAAGGACTAAAAAGGCCTAATCTCCTTCTTTTGTGACCCTCTGGGTCATAAAAATGAAGGCTCACATTTTAAGAGTTGAAGTTTAGGAAAGTAAGAAGGGAAGAACCACCTAACCTCGGGGGCAGGACACAAAAATGACAATAGATTCAGGAGGCAATCGTGGGTAACACGCCCAACAGGTGGCGCCAAATACCTTCAGTGGCAGTCTACAAGAGCCTCAGAACCCCTGCCCCTTCGGCAAGCCATGCTGGAGGGAGCTCCATTCAAATCTGCCAGTCAGCCAGGTGGCACTCCTTTAGTCAACAAAATATCAAGCTTCCACTATTGGAAAGCTCTGTGCTAGGGACTCTGAGAGCTGTATGTCTGCAAGTGCACGTGTGCTCTGCTGTTCCTTTAACGTGTGGAGACAAGAACCTTTTGAGAATAAGTCCCATCTATTTTAACTCCTACATAGCTCTCAAATCTATCTACATTTCTTCATCTACATTGCTGCCTTTCTCTTCTACACCACTATTCTCACTGGCTGGGATTAACTGCTGCAATTGCTTTCTAAACTATCCACTCTCAACACCCCACCAACCCTAACATGATTGTCCCTAGTGCAATTTCCTTAAAGCATGTCTATCTCCTAGCTCCCTACTGGCCCACAGCACTGGAAGTCTAGTGCAGTAGTTATAAATGTGGACCCTGAAGCCAGATCGCCTGGTTTCAAAACCCACCTCCAGTGCTCACTGACAATGTGGTGATGTTGGGCAAATTGACTAATCTCTCTGTGCCTCATTTCTTTATCTGTTAAATGCAGACAAGATGTACCTCACAGGATTATAGTGAGGACCAAATGAGTTTACAGGGTAAGTTTTTATTTAGCACAGTGCATGGGACACAGTAAGTGCTCAATAAATGTTAGCTATTAGTCTTTGAGATGTAAATTCAAAGCATCTCAAAGCACTCACCTTCATCCTTGCTGCTTCAGCATCACCTAGTTACCTTCTCAGTTGCTGTTTCTTCTGCTGGCAATGTTCACTACTCCCTGCTCCCACCCATCCACCCCTTACAAACAGGAAGGAACTCATCGTTCTGAGATATCTGAATAGCTCTCAGCTTAGACCAGAGAACCCTCTTTTCTAAATTCTTGCTAGACCTCTGCACATTGTCCTGTTAGAATTACTTATTTTTGTTAAAAATCGTGTGACTAGTTGTCTAATGCTGCCCCTTTCCCCGATCCTAGAATATAAATTGAGAGCAAGAAGCTGTCGTCTCATTCAGTGCTGGAGACCAGCTAGTGGGATTTTGTGAGTATCTTTAGGGTGATGACCCAGGAAAAAATGAAATCATGGTGACAACACATTAGTTCCATGCTACCATTCCCACATCTCCTTCCCAGCTCTCCATTACAGCCACTCTCTAATTGCTCAGGAAAATCTTCCTCCAGTCTTGCACTAAGCCCCAGAGTAACACCAGTCACCTCTGGTCCTTGTCCTGGGAGTCCTTCATGCTGGTCACTCATGGAAGCAGGGCCTTCCAATCAAGGTAGTCCCGAGTGAACCTAAGAGCAGGACTTTGGGGAAGGTTACAGGCAGGCTGGAACTGGGGTCCACATATGGGTGCACAATAAGGATGGTCTGTGAAGACCAAGTCATGCCTATATCTTGGATTCAATCAGTATAATTACCACACCATGATGGTTAATAATTGCACCCTATTCGTGCTAAGCAAACTCCATGATAAGACCTTGTCTTATCTTCACCTTATACCCTCTGGCTTGGCAACGTCCAGGTCTACAGGCCTAACAGTTTGCTGAAAAGGCAATCAAGGGAACTCAATAAATGTGTGACTGAGTAAATAAGACCGACTCTCACCTTCCCCCACAACCCAACAAAAGGCTTCCTATGGACGCAATAAAAGGCAGTAAATGGCAGCATGAGGGGAGAGGGAAAAAGCAGCAGCAATAGAACCCATGATTCCAAGAGCTGAGAGGAGCATAGGGGGAAATAATGCCCACAGGACTCCACTAGTCCTTTGAGTTGTGCTGGAGACTGCTATTTTGGAATAAAGTCCTTTGGCAACCAAGATGGAACTCAACCAAACTCCTGAAACAATTACAATCCCTAAGTGAGACAGGCTTGAAATAAGTTCAAACTAAAGTCAATTAAGAGACTAGTCCAATTGGTTTAAGGCAGGTCTGAAGCCCCTGTGTCAGCCAGCCCTTCTCTCTCTTAAAGCATTTAGGGCGGTCTGGGTTCCATTTACAGGGAATTAAGTACTCAGGGGCCTCCAATGTCAGGTTGAAACTTTTATTTTTCCGAACTACAGAAAACAAACCTTAAAAGTACATGAGCAGAAGGGGCTGCAGTCAGACAAAATATTCTATATTTTGTCCCAAAACTAATCCAACTAAATCCTTCAATTCCCTCTGAAATGAGATGTAATCCCTGACATAGACATGCACTTAGCTTAAATCTATTTACTCCGATTTTCAGAACTTTAATTTGTATCTCATCACCTATTGCCCAACGCGTCTCTATTAAGTACTTACGAATCCTCAACATCTGTTATTCTCAGAAGGGAACCAGAGCTCAAAGGGAGCTCAAGAGCTTTCACTGGTGCACACAAGTTAGCAAGAAAGCCCAAACAAGGGTTTGTTTCCCTCTAAGTGCTTGGCAAACAGTAGCAGGTGGTTCACAAACCTAATTTTTTATTACCATCTCCCGAGCTTTTGAAAATTGTTGCTCAAGCCCCAGTTTAGCCGGAATTCCTAAAGAGGGCTGAGCATCACTAGTAAAATTTATTGCTTCCTACATTTAGTTTGTGGTGTTGCCCTACACTTAGTTTGTGGTGTCATTTACAGCAAAATAAACCATTTGCTTTACTACATTCCTGATTCTAATTTCCACGTCTCTATCCAGGTTTCCTACTATGGTACACTATACTAAGCAAATGTCTCACTTTTCCAGTATTAAAGCCCCAAATTCCAGAATGCACACATCCCAACCCCCTAAACTTTTTATACAACCCTTCTCTCCCCTTAGCAAGACAAGGGGGTATGCAGAAAGCACAGTTTTGTGATTTAATCGTTGGAATACTCTTTAGTATTCTACTAATAAACTATCTGTAAATTTGTGTGTGACCATGGCAGCAAAATTTAACAATGTTTAACAATGTAGTAGGCCCAATTACTTTTTTTTTTGAGACGGAGTGTCTACCACCCAGGCTGGAGTGCAGTGGCGCGATCTCGGCTCACTGAACCCCGCCTCCCGAGTTCACGCCATTCTGCTGCCTCAGCCTCCCGAGTAGCTGGGACTACAGGTACCCGCCACCTCGCCCAGCTAATTTTTTTTTAGTAGACAGGGTTTCACCATGGTCTCGATCTCCTGACCTCGTGATCTGCCCGCCTCGGCCTCCCAAAGTGCTGGGATTACAGGCCAATTTCCTTTTAAAAGGCAATAAACTCAATGCATAAAGTACTTATGTTCGGCTACCTCCCACCCTTTTCTCATATTTTAAGTCTGCTCAGGAGAAAATTCACACATCCAGTGCCACAGGGAAAAACCTAAAGCCTACCTCAAAATTTTGAGTTCTTGGTTAAAGCATGAATGAGCCACAGTACTATTTTTCATTTAAACAAGAGCAAATTGTAGACCTAAAGATTACTTCTAAGGACTCAATTTACAAAAGTCATATTTACTTTATTAAAAACACAGCAAAAGCCTACTGGTTTAAAAATTAAGACAATCCAATTATAGGTTAGCTATTGCCTTTTCTCACTGCAGTAATATTTCCCTCAAAATTATCAAGACAATTCTTATGATGTTCCTTTTGAAACACTACAAAAGCAAATATTAAGGTAACTCAAAACTTGAATAATATTTTCTTTATTTACAAGTTAGAATCAACAAAGACAGTCCAGGGGACCAAATGGGGAGATGACTGAAACCCCCAGGGCCCCAAATGGAGCGGAAGGAAAAAGGGAAAACAGAGTAGAAAAAAAAAAATCAACGTAAAAAAAGAGCTCCCCCTTCTTCCCTCCCCATGGAGGCTGAGGGGACCACGGCCCCACCCTCCCCCCAGCCTTACCTAGCTTAAAATAAATTAGAACAAACAATCTCAAAACAGGGCCCTTAGAAGTGAATAGGGCAGCTATGGCCTCAGGTAACTCCAGATCAGGGCTTTGCACACTCCCACCCTTGCCCTGCCCCATTTTGAATGGGGGCTCTGTGTCCAAGAGATCACTCCCCAATGGGGCTGGGAATTCAATGTTGTTTTGTCCATGTCCCTCCTTCAGTAAATGTCCCTGCATCCCTCCCCCACTGCAGAGCCAGCTCTCCTAGAGGGGGGCGGGGGGGGGGTGAGATGAAGAAGTGTCACAGCAAAGGGGGAAGGGGCAGGTGGGGCAGGGTGGTCTAGGGGTCCGGTCCTGCGGAGCCTTCCTGCCCCATCTGGCCTGACCCCTTAGCCTGAGTCTGAATCACTGGTGTCTGAAGACGACGACGAGGAAGAGGAGGAGCTGGAATCTGAGCTGGAGCTGGAAGCGCTAAGGCGTGACACTGCTACTTGCTGTGCAGAGGATGACTCTGTTTTCTCATTCGCTGCAGAACAAATTCGAAAGTTAAAGACGTTCAAGTCTGAATCTTCATTTGTCAATAAAAGACAGTCAAGAAGGCAGGATGGAGTCAATCTGTAGTGGCATGAAAGTATATACTCACCTTTCTTGGGGGGCTTTTTAGTAGAATTGAGCTGTCCGCTGACATCTTGTAACCGCTTTTCTAATTCCCGCTTTTTCTCCAAAGCCAGTTCCTCCTTTGTCTTTCCCACAGGCTTCTTAATGGCTAATGAAAGAAATTTATCAGGATACATTAAGATTGCCCCAAGCATCTTATTATGGGCCCCTAAGGTTCCCAAGTTCCCTTCTTGAACGTCAGCTGCCAACCAACACATCCCATTATCCTGGGAGCTGACAATCCTGAATGCAAACAGACCCCACCATCTTTCCTCAACTGTCCTCAGAACCATGAGATGAACCTCATTTCATACGTACTGTAGGGCTTCCGGGGTTTCTTACGTAGGCAGGAAAGGACATAGCGCTCAAGCTCTCTAAGTGTGGATGGCTTGAGTGTTTCAAAATCAATCTCAATCTCTTCTGGGTTTGAATCACGTAAAGAGGGCTCCCTGGCTTGGATTATATGCACAACTCGGCCCAGCTTCTCCCCAGGTAATTTGTTGATGTCCAGGCTCAGCTGCCGCTTCTCATCGTAACTCATGGGCCTGCTCTCTTCCTCCTCCTCTGAATCATAACCTGTAGGCAGGGCAGGTGGGGCTGTCTTTGTGGCCTTTTTGGGGAGCCTAAGGGCAAAAAGAGTTGTCAGCAAAAGAAGCTTCATTAACCTCTTCCAGTATGTTCCCACTGTTATAATTCAGTGATCCTATTTCCTGCCCAGAGTGGAGCTTCTGTTTTTCCATTCAATGGCCAAGTAAGAGGTGGGCTACTGGGACACTGTATAGTGAAACAGAGCATTTTGCTCTTGACTGTAAGTAGGCAATAACATGTCTTTAAAAAGACAATGTACGTACATACCTTAATGAAAAAATATTACTAAAAATGTGACACACAAACATGTTGGAAAAACTGTTGAAAGACTTGCTCCACACAGGGTTGTCACAAATCTTCAACTAAAAAAAAAAGTAGTATCTAAAAAAAACTCCGTAAAGTGAAGCACAATAAAACAAGGTATACCTGTTTAGGTATACTGACATGGGTCTTTCTGCTCCCTTAAACACTACCAAACTACACCATGGGCCAGCTGCAGTGGCTCAGATTTGTAATCCCAGCACTTTGGGAGGCCAAGGCGGGCAGATCACTTGAGGTCAGGAGTTCAAGACCAGCCTGCCCAACATGGCGAAACCCCGTCTCCACTAAAACTACATAAACTAGCTGCGCACTAAAAATACAAAAATTAGCTGGGCGTGGTGGCGCATGCCTGTAATCCTGGCTACTTGGGAGGCTGAGGCAGGAGAATCGCTTGAACCCGAGAAGTGGAGGTTGCAGTAAGCCGAGATCACGCCACTGCACTCCAGCCTGGAGTCTTTAAAAAAAACAAAACAAAAAACAAACTAACAAAAAAAAACAAAACACAAAACCACACCAAAAAACCAAAAACTACTACGCCATGAAAAACAAGTCTAGACTCATTGATTTAGAGCAACAGGCAAACTATATGGCCCAGAGAACAAATCTGATCGCCACGTGTCTTTGCAAATAAAGTCTTTTTGGAACACAGCCATCTTCATGTTTCTAGTTTATGGCTACTTTGAGTTCACTGTCAGAGTAGCTGTGAAACACCCTGACTCCCAAAGCCAGGGGTCCCAACCCCCAGACCAGTACCAGTCCGTGGCCTGTTACTGGGCTACGCAGGAGGTGAACAGCCGGCATGTGGGCATCACTGCCTGTCACATCAGCAGAAGCATTAGATTCTCATAGAAGCATGAACCCTACTGTGAAGTGCGCATGGTACATATCCAGGCTGCATGCTCCTTATGGGAATCCAATGGCCCAATGATCAGAGGTGGAACAGTTTCATCCCAAAAACCATCCCCTCAAACCCTGTCTGTGGTAAAATCTGTCTTCCACGAAACTGGTCCCTGGTGCCAAAAAGGTTGGGGACCACTGCTCAAAGCCTATTGTATCTGTTAACTGGCCATTTAGAATTATCTTTGCAAAGAGAGATGGCATCCCCCAGAGAGACAGAAATAGCCAAACTAGTCTCTGCTTCCTACTCTAACTCACTTGGTGCCACTTCCTCCAGAAGGTCCAAAGCCAGAAGGGCCTAAAGCAGCACTGCCACCCCCACTGCCACTTGCTTTCTTGGACTTCTTAGGTTGAGGTGGGCGGGGTGCCCTAGGCCCCTTGTCATCTTCATCGGCCCCAGCTCGGCCTCGATGCTTCTCTGCCTTCCGTTTCTTCTTTTTCTCTTTTTTCTCTCTTTTCCTCTTGGGCTTGGATATTGGACCCTGGGACAGAGCAGCCAGTTGTTCATGTACTGCCCGAAGCTAAAGGAAAAAAAACATGAAGTGGAAAAAGTAAATAAAGATAAAATAACAAGAAGAAAAAATGAGGACAAAGGGCATGAACCTCTTACCCAATAAAAACTTTCAAGAGTGACAAAATACCTGTTCCTGTAGTTCTGCTAAGCGATGAGCCCTTTCTTCCTCTGAGTCTGAGCTTTCACTCTCTTCTTCCTCCTCGTCCTCATCTTCCTCCTCCTCTTCCTCAGAGGAGCTCTCACTGCTACTTTCCTCACTGGAGGACTCTGAAGACGATTTGGCC